>NC_000016.10:61532197-61835227 GCF_000001405.40 Homo sapiens | reverse complement strand
AGCGGTCTGATTTAAAGCTTTCAAGCCCGCTATTCTATAGCAACAATTTCCAAGCATAAATGGGGCAGGGCATATAGAGGTTAATATATAAAACCTATATGACAGAGCCATGCCTGTCAAACAGAATCATATTAAGATGCTGGGATAGCATAGAAGGTGATTGTTGGACAAATATCTTACTAAGCATTCTGCGGAGATATTTTTTGGCAAAGGAGAGTATATTATTTTCTACATTCTTTTTATCAGACATGGAGTTTCTAGGCAAATTAAAAAAAAATTTTATAATTAAGTTTCTAAAGACCAAGATTTGGACGCCACAGCTGCAGGCTGCGGGACTTTGTCCAAGACCTTTCTCATTGCTGGGTCACATTCTGAATTCCCAATATTCATGTGATAATATATTTTCACCTGTGGAAAATGAATTGTTTTCCTATCAACTCTTATAGGAGAATTTGCATGTCATAACCATATATTTGCCAAGAGAAATAAATAACTATGAATCTTCAAAAATAGCAAGTAACACCAGAACATCATTCATTGGTAAAGCATGTATATCAAAGAAATTGTTTTTTCATGAATTCATCCCCAAGTAATTATATTCATGAAATATTTCTAGAATCCATAGCCCATCAGCACCACCTTTTTTGAGTATTCTTGAGAATATATGAAATATTAGAACACTGCCCTACAAATTTATATTGAGACATTTAATTAAAACTTCAAATGTCAATTATGAAATGAATAAAATATCTACAGAAACAATGAGAACCCCGTGTTCTTCAGTCTATAAAACACACTCACCTCACTAGCATTAATTGTAGTGCTATGTCCTTCTTCTGGCAAACCAGCATAATCTCAAGATGTGACTCAGGCTGTGATGGAATGAAGTAGCCCTTGAGCCTTGAAGCAGTAAGACTTGAAGTCAAATACTGCCACACTCACCCCCACCCTCCCACCAGACACACACACTTAGTGGCTCTGTGACTGTGTAACAACATCTGTATGTCTCTGGTCCCTGGAGACATGGCAATTATTAATAGTTTTCAAGTGGTTGCATGCTCCAGGGCTGAGTCCCTGAAGCAGCAAGCTTCAATTACCACGTTTTTCTCTCTCTTTCTTCTTCCATCTTCATTCTCTCCTATCTTCTCTTTTTCTCTTTGTAGTATTTTCTTCTCTCTTACATTTGTTGAATAACCTATTATGTGCCAGGGATTGCGTTAGGTTCTGGGCGATAATTATGACATGGCTTTCATACCCATTACTTTGCTAGCAGGACAGGTTGAAATAGAGGAGGTGGTGAAATGGAAAGAAACATAAAAACAAATGCTGTGGGGAAGTTTCTAGCAAAGGTGCATACAATCAAAAGGAAGAAAGCAAGTAGTCCTATTTGGAAAGACTTCTTGGCAGCTGAGACATCAGAGCTGGGACTGAAAGGATGCATGGAATTTTAAGAGATCCAGTAAAGAGTAAGTGTGTTCTAGACTGTATTATCCACGCAAAATTGTGGAGGAACCAAAGTATATGGCAAATCCAAAGAAAGGAAAGTGCTTGGAAAATCAAAGGCATATGCTGTGTAGAATACCATAGTAAAAAATGTTTGGAGACAAGTCATGTAAAGATTTGAATAAGAGAAAAATCACTTTGTTACCTGGAAATCACTGTGGAAGCATTACTTTTTTGAAATTGGTGAGAGATGTTCACATCTTGTAGTAGATTTTCTGAATATAATCTTTGTTTCTAATTTTAAAAATAGCATAAGTATTTGCTGATTATCATAACCACTGAATTAATACCTAAATTTCATTTGACATGTGTATATATGTATGTGTGTATACATTTATAAAGCCTAAGTAGAAAACATGCATATATTTACATATGTGTGAATCTATATATCCATATATGAACGTATATATTTATAAAAAAATACAAAATTTATCTACATTTATATGTGCATATTTACAGCTATGAGTGTGCATATATATGTGCATCTTTATAAAATATATATACTGTGTATATAATATTATACATATATAATGTAGAAAATAAAACATTTGCCTTTTTACTTATCATGTAATAATACCGAACAATAATACTGAGTCTAAACTCTTGATTGCAATTAATAACGTTTTGTATATGAGATCAGTGAGCCTCAGGGAATTTCAGTGACCTGCCCACGATCACATGGCTGGTAATAGTTCTACAAAAATAATTTCTCATCTAGCTAACTCCAGAACCCATTCTCTAAGCACAGATCTGTGCTTCTTCTTATAGACAGATGAAAAAAGGGGGGGACAATTCCAGTGCCTGCACTAAAACATATCAAGCTATCTTTGTGTGTATTTATTTCCAAATTTTTATATGCACCATATAACACAGGCTAATCATGGCATATATAATTCAAAATAATATTAAAATTATTATAATGTAATCATTTGCAATAGGCTCTTTATAACAGTTTTTAATGTCTGCTTAATATTGTATGCCTTTGATATCTATAACCTTAACCACTAACTTAATATTTTTCTTGTTATTATTTAAATTGATTTTCTTTTAAAAAATATTGTACAGAAAAGTGAACATCTAAAACTAAAAATATGAGTAACCAGGAGAAAATAAAATTTATGATTTTCTTAGAATAAGTTCTTAGTTTAAAAAGTACTGGTCAAAATGTATAAACAAGCTTTTGATTGCTGATTCACTTGATCAGTTGTATTTCCAAATGGGTTGTTATATTTTTAGAAGGCACCAGAAATGTATAAGAGGAGATACAGTTTCTCCAAATTCAGACCCATCTATCTATAAGTCTATTTATCTGTCTCTCTATTTCCCTCTCTATTTCTCTATGTATCTATCTATCTATCTATCTATCTATCTATCTATCTATCTATCTATCTATTATCTATCTGTCTTCCTCTAAAATCTCTCCCCATCTATCTAAATCATAAATTATTAGTCACAAAGAAAGGGAAGTGCTGTTTTCTTTGAGCCTTATGGAGGCCGAATTATTTTCTAATGTGTTTATCTAAGTGTTTCATTTTTTCCTTTGTGGTATATCTGTGCAAGTTTGATATTGTTGTGATTCTGTTATTCAGTGGTAAGGTGGGTGTGTGTGGAAGTATGTCTGGTTATATATACTTTATTCTTCATAACTGGTAGCATGTAGTATAAATCACATAGCTAGCAGAAAGTATGGGTGCAGTACATGACCCCCCCACTTATAGAAGTATTGTCTCTTATAGCCTTTTACCACTTAACCTCATAAGTAAAAGACCCCTTTTCACAGATAATAAAATGATAATTGTACACTGAATTGGAAAGGGTTTTTGGGGATAACAAAGCTAGTGGTTTCATAACCAGGATAATGTGTTCAACAAGTCTTATTCAAAAGAGGAGTCTAGCACAGCATTTTATATCAACTGCAATCTTTGAACAGCACAATCTGGGAGACCCGTGAAGAGTGAATTACAGTAATCAGCCTTCAAAATGACAAAAGAGTCAATCAGCATCCCCTTGCCTTTCTTGTGAAGCCTCTCAATCTGGTGATATCACAGAAATTATAAAAAGAAATCTTCGTGACGGATACAAAATGCTTCTCAAATGATAACGCCAAAGACAATGGGAAGAAAAAATAACACACACACAAGTTTAATGTTTTTGAGATGACTGAAGCTGGATTCTAATCAGAAATACTCCCTGGATGATGAGACATAAGAAACAGCTGTTGAGCACTAAGAGGAACTTAGGCCAGTCTAGGATTTAAATTCTTAAACTCCTGAACCAGGAAAATCTCCATTTGATTGAATAACATAAAGATAAAATCATATCTTAAATACAGGAGAATCAAACACGAGTCTATTCACAGCTAGGTAATGAATGTTGGTTTTAAACAAGATGATCCTCCTTTTCCTTGTAATTCTTCTACTAGAATTCACCCCTTAATCTTCTACTCCCCAGTGCCAGGTTCAAATTTCCATTGAATGAACTTCATGGAGAATGGAGGGTTCTCATTAGTTGAATTCTCTTGTTTGCTTGAATTTTCAAAATGAAGTTCCAGGGAAACTTCTAAAATATAATCATTTGTATTCTCTCATCTGGAACTACTATGCAACTTAAGCTACTGAGACTCCAGGAGGCATAGGTACCCCTGAATACCAAGTGTGATTTTTCCTTCTCAAAATTACAAAATGTTACAGCCCCCCACTTTCAAGGAAAAAAGTTTGTCCCAGGGATGTTCTGTGTTAGTCCAAGGCTAGCTGATTATGAAATGGTCTAAATCTAAACCCTAGAAACATTACTGTTGGAAATTTACAAAAGTAAAAAATAAAAGTTGTGATCAGATAATTTTATCAACTCAATACTCTTATCCTGGAATTTCTATGCTGGAAAAAATGATCTAAGCTGTTTTCTTTATTGTGAGGTTATTTATCAAATATTCACATCAAGAATTTTACTAATTGCTTCAGAGGAAAGCATTTTGTCACATGGCTTCTCCTAAACTTGAGACCACTAACTTGTCGCCGCACCGGTGTAATGGAAGGTTAAACTTATGTGAGCTTCTGAACATGTTGCTGAGTGTTGAGAATGTGTGACTGTAAGCATGCTAGGGACATGGACACTACTGCTGCTTGGCCATTTATGAAAAAAGATAGACACAATTTATGTCTTGGGCAACGGGATGTTATTTAACGTAGCACCATCAAAATTTGCTTTAAATTAAACTAATTTGCCAAAATAAACTATTCTGGCAAATAGCGAGTCAGAATCCTCTCTCTGGCTTTTTAGAATAAAAGTTGAAAATGGATAAGAAATGCCATTTTATTGAAGTTTTAAGTCACTTTTTAGCATTCACAGTTCAAAATTTTTGACTTTTGACTTCTCAAATCTGAGAATTTAAATCCTTCTTAAATTTGAAAACAGTCTTCCCTAATTACTATATTTTGTGCTCTGTATTAGGTGGCATTTCATACCAAACAATGATTTTTAAAATAGGGGAGTTATCTCTTGTCCATAATTTTGTTTATTCATTAATTTGTTTTATTGGATGCAGAGTTTCTCATCAAACACATTTCTTTTCATAAAAGAAACAGCCTGAAACTACTAGTGCTTGGGAGATATGTTAGCCAAAACAGGAGAAAAGAAGTAGAAGAGAATAGTAAGGCTATTTTCATTTTCTATTTTTGGAGCTTGTCAATATCTTGAAGTATCTATGGAAGTGAAATACATTGTGAATAGGAATAGTAAAGTTAAGTAATATGTGTAGATAAGCCCAACACAAAAAGAAAAATAAGAGGATCCAGGACAATTGTGGTTTCCCCTATCCTGCCTTTCCAGCTACAAAATAGCATAAAAAGCATTCCAAAAATTCTGTCTTGGATGTTTTAATGAGTTTCTGCTAGTCATGGGGTTGAGACTAGAGGCAGTGGACTCGGGAAAGCAAGAGCTGTTCATTATTCAGTTTGAATTGAAGCCAATTAACTGCACTGTGTGTTCTAAAGAAACCTTGGAGAGACTTCCTACTCGCCTTAGAGATCAGAAAACCTACTCCCAATGTTGTGGAAGGAAAGAGGAGATGCAAAGATTCTCAGAGGTGCAGCTTCCCAGTGGGGTCATCTTGAGCAACCCACTTAAATGAATAGGTATTACTCTCATTTTACAGGTAAGAAAACAGTCTGCCCTGCCTTCTTAAGGAGCAGGCCTGGACCGCAGTACATTATTACACTGAAGTACTTTTGAACTATAGATGTCTGTGTAGGAGTGACATGCAGGCAAAATGTTTGGCACTTGGACAGAGTCCCAGTTTTGTAACGTGTATTTTGGGATCTTGTCAGGAAAGAGGCAATTGAGGAGAATTTAACAAAGGGACAATTGACAAAAGTATGGCCTGGTTAAGAGAGACCGTCATGGAAGAATGCAGCACCAGATGCTAGCGATAGAAGTACCATCAAGACTCCTAGACCTTAAGGAACAAAGGAAGGTGGCAGTTATTGGACACTAGATAGAATTTTACTTTAACGATATCTCTAAATAATAACCTGAGTGGCCAAATACAGGAATAAAGTCTTTGCAGGAGTCTTTGGGGGAGCCAGTTGCACAGCCTCCTAGGTTAATGTATATTGGTGGAGCCTAACAAAAAGCCAGAAAGTAAAGGAGTTAATTGGGGCAATCTATTAAGGCCACCCTTACATGCCAACACTGGGTGGGTAGGGCTGGGCAGTGGACTTGTGGGAGCAATTGTAGAATATTCTGTACTCTAGCCACCATCAACATAAGCATTAAAAAGTCACGTTGGGGAAGGGGAACAGTGTGTTTGGGTAACTACTGTGTACCAAGAACTTTGCCTGAATTATCTCACATCATCTTGGAATGTCCACAGTGAGAAGCTGGTTATTATCTCTGATTGAGAGGATATGGAGTTTGGATGAGTTTAATAATTTATTCATGGTCACAGAGTTGGTAAGGTTAAGACTAAGACAAAAAATACAAACTTGCTTGATTTCAATTATGAGGGCAGCATTGGTAAGAGGAATCAAACTTGAAAATATATGGTTGACCCTTGAACAACACAGGTTTAACCTATGAGGGTCCACTTACAAGTACATTTTTTTCAATAAATATTTTGTAAATTTTTCTGAGATTTTCAACAATTTGGAAAAATTGACAGATGAACCAGGTAGCCTAGAATGTTAAAAAAATTAAGAAAAATGAATGTCATGAATGCATAAAACGTGTGTAGATACTATTGTTACCAGAAAGAGGTCCCAGTCCAGACCTCAAAAGAGGGTTCTTGGATGCTGTGCAAGAAAGAAGTCAGGGCAAGTCTGTAGAATAGTGAAAGCAAGTTTATTAAGAAAGTAAAGGAATAAAAGAATGGATATTCCATAGACAGGGGCAGCCCTGGGGCTGCTGGTTGCCCATGTTTATGCTTATTTCTTGATGATATGCTAAACAATGGGTGGATTATTCATTCCTCCCCTTTCGTAGACCATATACAGTAACTTTCTGAAGTTGCCGTGGCATTCGTAAACTGTCATGGTGCCGGTGGGAGTGCAGTAGTAAGGACGACCAGAGGTCACTCTTGTCGCTATCTTGGTTTTGGTGGGTTTTGGCCAGTTTCTTTACTGCAACCTGTTTTATCAGCAAGGTCTTTATGATCTGTATCTTGTTCTGGCTTCCTATCTCATCCTGTAAGTTAGAATGCCTTAACTGTCTGGGAATGCAGCTCAGAAGGTCTCAGCCTTATTTTACCTAACCCCTATTCAAGATGGAGTTGTTCCAGTTTCACAAGCCTCTTACACTATTCTATTTATATGTTAATCGACTGTTTGTGTTATCAGTAAGGTTTGTGGTCAATAGTAGGTTATTAGCAGTTACGTTTTGGGGGAGTCAAAAATGACATACAGATTTTCAACTGTACGTGGGGTCAGTGCCCCTTACCTCCCGTGTTGTTCAAGAGTCAACTGTATATGCATCTTAGGTAGTATGAAGCTGCTTACCTCAATGGGGGAGGGTAAAAAGACTTTTGCAATTGATGAAGTCCCATGGAGCATTTCTTGTCCTATTTGCTAAACAACATTCTCCACTGTGACGCTTCACTCATATTCTGATATAACTTGTAGACACTAACCCAAAGGTGTTATTTCCAAGTGAGTAAAAAAACTATTTTAATTCCAAATGCCTAAGAGACATCACAGTTTTGTTTTGTTTTACATTTTCACTTTCACAACATATAAAAGAAATGATGAGAATAATACATACCAATCTTTTTTGACTCAGAGAAGTTGCAGGAGTTCTTTCACGCAAGTAACCTGAGAAGTCTCATGCATAGACCTCACCTCATCAACTTTCTTGAAAAAAATTGCTGCCTTCCTTGGAGAACAACATTATTTTGCTCTGATTGTTAGAAGCTCCATGTCAAATTCCAAAGTCCAGTGGATGGCATAATTGGTGATGACCTTAGAATGTGGTGGTACAAGCATTCATGTAAATGTCACAGGAGGAAAACAATGTTTTCAATCTTTTTTACTGAAAATTTGAGCCATAATGAAAACATTCTAGGTCATGAAAATGTATATTCATAGCAGAGTAGCTATCTTGGTATCTCAACATGCTAATATAATGAGGTTGTTGTCTTTGTTGCTGTTTTTTGCTTATCTGTTTGTTTTCTTCTCAAACATGCCTCAGAGTGATCTAAATCTGAATGGTTGATATATTTCTACTTTTATTTCTGTTTTTATTTCTAACTATATAGGTATGACCTATAAGCTATATTATGATGTGATCAAATCCTGAAACAAAGCATTGCATTGAAAAATATCATCGTAGTATTACAAATGTTTCCAAATAAGCAAGGTTATCTAATTCAGTGCTCCCTGAATGGGAAGCCCTATTATTAAAGTTGTGTCAGAGTCTAATAAAGTGTATAAGAACTCACAGTTCTCCCCAGAGCCTGCTCCCTGTGTAGGTGCATTGTATTTCCCTGGTAACTCTTGGGACTCACTTGCTACTCAAAAGATTTAGGGACTTGAACTCCTTGCAGTGCTTTTACAGACAGATGATTTAAATAAACCATATGAATTAAAAAAAAAAAAGAATTACAACTTCAGAAGTGGCCAAGGCAATGGCTCAGCTTCAATTTGAATTGAACATGTATGGTGCCCCTGGGTTAGAAGTGAAGGGGTTAAATTGTCTTTAATCTGGACATTTTCCTTTTAGCTTGACCAGAAATGTAACACACATCAATTCAATAGAAGTATTCTGGACTAGTCAAAATAAGTTTTATTATGGACATTTAGCAATATGGGGAAGGGGCATCTTATGACAGAGTTAAGTAAAAATGCAGGAAATAAAAAAATACAATATTATCATACTAATATATCTGTCAGTTGTTTGACATGGGAAAATATGAAATAACTGCAATATTTATCAATATGAGAATGCCTTAGCCATGTATAGTATATTGTACAATGAAAAATTATGCAACTGTAGGAAGTAATGAGGTGAACTTCTATGCAGTGACAAGGAAGTTTTTCAAAAACATCTCCTGTGAGAAAAAGAAAGTCTCAGAATGCTGCCTACATCATGATCATGTCTGTGGTTAAATGTTTATACTCACATTTCTGGGTATGTACATATCATGGCCTTATAATTTTGCGCCTCAAAATGTCAGCGTTATCTATGAAAAAAATATGTGGAGGTAGAGAGCTAAATAAGGATTTTTGATTTTCAAAATAAACTTCAGGAGGATCTAAGAAAATTTTGGATCTTTAACAAGAATATTAAATTACCAGTGAAACAAACAGACAAACCCACATGAAACGCTGAATATATATCAGAAGAAAAAACATTAAGATTTGAGCAGTGATAATTTTATCGTATTTTATGTAATTTTATATTTTATACACCTTTTCCTATATCTTCCTATTTTTCTAAACTATTTGCTACTTTTACAAAGAGAAGATGTATCTAAAGAATTAAAATATAAATATAGCTGAACAGTAGATTAGAACTTAAGACACTTGACTATATTAATTCTGATTGGTATTTTATTCATCTGAGTTGATTCTAATGACACATTTATTTATTTCATCTCTCAAATGTATCTGTGAACTTCAGAATAATTTATCTTTGACCTCAGAGCCTTCAAGCTATGTGTGTATTTACTCCTCCTGTGGGGGAATTGAGATCTGTGATAAATTGGAGAATTCTTTCACTCCCAGGGTTTTCTGGGGTGGACGAGACTGTGTTATGATATACATTATAATTTGGTAGGCAAGGGATGCCATTCAGTTTACTTTCTAATGTATATTTTTGCAAGTTCTTTTTATACATTATAAAATATATTTTTGCAAATTATCTGTAAATGTCTATGACCACAGTCTTTCTCATTGATGTAACAGGCACACACCAATCAAATGTCAGAAGAACACAGAAAATTATCTGACTAGGGACTTGGTGTATGCTTGTGTGTATGTGTGCATGTGTGAGATTAACACTTTCATTTTTGAATTAGCTCTGTGACTGAAAGTCATTCTTCCATTTTCCCCCTCAGCTATTATAAAAACTGCCCTTCCCAACATGGACAGAGAAGCCAAGGAGGAGTACCTGGTTGTTATCCAAGCCAAAGATATGGGTGGACACTCTGGTGGCCTGTCTGGGACCACGACACTTACAGTGACTCTTACTGATGTTAATGACAATCCTCCAAAATTTGCACAGAGTAAGTTAATTTCCTGCACTGGATGAGAATCTTGGTATGATGTTTCCATTTGAATTTATATTATAATTTTTAGTGATAATTAAAAACCTGACAGCAACTATTGAGTGGCTTATTATGTGCCAGGTATGGCATGATTTTGGTACTAAACTTATTCCCATTTTACAGATTACAAAACAGTTGATACCATTTCCAAATATCAAGCGTATAGTAAGTAAGAATTAGAACCAGTATGTCTGACTGCAAGTTGTGCACTCCTTTCTCTTTTGCCTGCTATTTCTCTTTATGAAAGCTTGAGAGGGTGATGCAAATGAAGCTCAGATATTGCTCTATTATTAGCCCCATTTGTTTTAGAAAGGAAATCAAATCTCTAGTGCCCGAGGTAGGGAAGACAAATATGCAGTAGGCTTGCTGCAAAATTTACACTCCTTCTTCCTGCAACTGGGAGGACATCAGTAAGACTCCACTCTTCCCTGCTAAAGCCATACTCTGCCTTGGAAATTTCAACAGCGTGCATTCTAGGCAGCCAACATGAAAGAATCAGGGAGACAATAATTATTTGACAACTTTCTTTACTCTCATCGAACACTTTCTTCTGAGCATTTATTCAAGTAATATGACAGAGACATGATTTGATAAGGCCTTTCTGACATGGGGACTCTTGAATTGAAACATGAAAAAGTGAAAACAATTAGTTGGAACAAGGTGAAGCCATGGGAGGGAGGATGAATAGTGCAGCTTAAAAGGATGTTTAAAAGCCCTGTGTCTACATACTTATTATTATTATTATTATTTTTAAGATGCCACATATAAGTAAGATCAGGCAGGGCTTTTTTTCCTTTGATCTGGCTTATTTCACTTAACATAATATCCTCTAGGTTCATTCATGTTGTTGCAAATGACAGGATCTCCTTTTTAAAGGCTGAATAATATTTCATTGTATAAATATACACCACAACTTCTTTAGCCATTCATCTGTCAGTGGATACTTGGGTGATGTCCATTTCTTTGCTATTCTGAAGAATCCTGGAATGAACATGAAAGTGCAGACATCTTTCCAAGGCAGTGGTTTCTTTTATCAAAACATCACAGTGTACACCTTAAATATAGTCAATAATAAAACAAAAGAAGCTCTGTGGAAGGATGGTGTACAGCCATGTATGGGAATGGAAATAATTTCACTGCAGCTGGAGCAGAGAGTGCCAGGGGAAAGTGCTGCAGCAAGAGTCTGGAGAGTTAGATTAGACTGAAATTAGCCATACTTGGATTCAAAAGCCATTTTAAGTATGAGGACCTATGAGGACCTTTATCCTAAGATCATTAGGAGGCCATTTAAAGATTTTAAATTGCAGCTTGAGTGATAGGCTGTGGTTCCAGCGAAACTGAAAAGAAATTAAATCTGGCCTTCCTCCAATGTTTTTTTCTGCTTTGCAGCCAGTTAAAGAGTTATTTGCAATCATTCACATAAAAGGTGATGGTAGCCCTGGCAAGCAAGGGTAGTTGTGTTGGATGCAGAGAAAAGTGTATGAGTGTGATGCATAGTTGAGTCACAGAAGATAAAAGTCTAAGGAAAGATTGCATTTTCAGTTGAGGAAGATAAATGATAATATTTCTAACATGAAAGATTAGATGCATGCTGGTGCTATTTGTTGGTATAGAAAACACCATAGGAAATCTGTTTTTTAAAGAGTTAAAGGAGGGAAGGTGGGGTGGGGAGAGACAGGGAGAGAGTGACAAAGAGAGAAATGTGTATGGAGCTTGAAAATGACACATTTGAGGTATCTTTGATGATTTATCTGAAGAAATTCCAAGCTAGAAAGGATAGAGGAGATGCATTTTCATTAAGAATTTTAGAATTTTTACATCTGGCAATTCATAAATCAGACAACAATGCAACCTTTTTAAACAAAATTATTGAAATGGAGAACACCATTTCTTCTACTCTTTCCCTCACTTTTTTTGCCTTTGCAGTTGCCATTACAGTGAATACTGCAAGATGCCATATTTCATTATAAGAAAATGATTATTCAATTAAATAATGGCAGATCAATTTCAAACGTGTGCCTTTTCTTAGAGATAATAACTATTAACTGTGATCACACTGATAGAGATGAGGAGCAGGCACAGAATAGGAATGGTTAAAAGAATGTTCCATTTGCTTGGCTTCCCAAGACTCCCCATGTAGGACTAGCAGCACGGCGCGGCCCCTTGCTGTCTTATTTATTTAATAAGCATACCAAAAGGGATCATCTCAAACCTTACTTGGAATATACAGTTTGTGGAAAATGGAATCATTACACCAATTATGAGAAAACTGGGAGACTTCGCTTGCAGTGAGGATTTTCAGTGCCTACCTTGTGGCAGAACTATTTGGAAAATATTTCAATCCCCAGTCCTATAACTTCGTGATTCTAAGAGAGATGTTTTTATCCCATTGTTAAATAAAGGGGTGTTAGTGCTAGAAGAAACCTTACTGTTATGTTGAGTATAATGAGCCTTAGTTTATCCAAGGGACTCAGTGGATTTGAGCTCGAATGAGAATTAGGTAATGTTCTCCAGATTTGATTTTTCCTTTTGGGTTTTTAGGTCATTGAATGTTTAATTTTCCCTTGTTGTGGTTGCAAGGAGAGTAAAACTTTTTGGTTTTTTGAGTTTGGGTTCCCCAGAAACAGACCCTGAGACAAGAATTTGATTGTAAGTTTAACTCGGAGATGGGACCAATAAATGCCAGTGGAGAAAGGAGAGAGAGAGACAGAGAGAGAAATAGCCAAAAAAAAAAAAAAAAAAAAAAAAAAAAAAAAAAAAAAAAGGTGCGTTTTTGAGCCAGTTACTACAGTGGGTTACTGGAACTTTATCTTATTGGAGAAACTCTGGACCATTGTAAAGAAGGAAAAGAAAAGAAAAAACTCAAAGTTATCCTGCCACAGAATGGAGAGACCTAGAATTTTATATACTAACTCCTGTGAGTCTTTGAGGGCTGCTTCTGCAGGAGGCATTAATTTTCTGGCATTTTTGGCCTGACACTCAGTGGGCAAAATAGGTTCTAAAGGCCCGCAATAACCCTCAGGCAAAGAAATGCAGGAGTGGCAGTTAGATGTAAGACAGGTGTACACTACAGTAACAATGGCCGGGGGTTATGATTGGGACACCAACAGCTTCCTCTACACCAGTGAAAGTGAGTGACAGCAGTATAACAACTAAAGTGACTTGAGTTAAAATGGACTAATGACACTAATTAGACACACTTTATTGCCCCCATAGGAGAGTGAAGATACACTTGATTGTATTTTGCCTAGGAAGTGTTGAAGGCAGGATTTTTGTCTTTAGAGCAATGAGGACTTTAGCAACAAGAGGAGTGTTTCATGTGTCTGAACAGCTTGCTGCAGGGCACAGCAGAAGTTCAGTAATTGAATTTTATCAAAAATGGTCTAAAAGTCTGTAAATATAAAGGTAAGTTCAAAAGTGACTTCCAGTGTGTTACACATTGCATCTTTCTGTGCTGAAATTAGCTTAATATTTTATGTTGGCAACGACGAATATCCCCATGGGCAGTAAATGTGATTATACAGCAAAAAGGAAAAAATATACACATAGATTCCCTAATAGTCTTGATATAACTGCTCCAAATATACACTTGGTAAACATATGGTTGAGTAAGTTTCATATCTCAGAAGAGCCTTGAAAAGGGATCATGCCTTCTTCTGGGAACTGTTTTTCTCTGATTCAGTTAAAAGACTGAACATTCCAGAAGGGAAACGGATATTTCTGTCTTTTCTATCACTTTATTGGTAGCATCTATAGGAATGCCCAGAACAAAGGAGGTGCCCAAAAGATATTTGCCATATGAATGAATGAATGGTTGGAATTTGTGTGACTCTCATTGTTTCTCCTCTTTTTAAAGGCCTGTATCACTTCTCAGTACCGGAAGATGTGGTTCTTGGCACTGCAATAGGAAGGGTGAAGGCCAATGATCAGGATATTGGTGAAAATGCACAGTCATCATATGATATCATCGATGGAGATGGAACAGCACTTTTTGAAATCACTTCTGATGCCCAGGCCCAGGATGGCATTATAAGGCTAAGAAAAGTAAGCTAAGGAAGCTTTTGTTCATCTTCAAAATATCTTGTTGAAACTTGAGTTTTAAAGTTGAGGGACTTGTGTGGAGTTCCTGGCAGAATTGCACAGCTGGTAGGTGTTTAGCTTTGAGCAGTAAGACAAGATAACTAGTACAGTCCTTTTGGCAACTCTTATCTCTTGGGCCCCCTTCACATTTCTGCTAAAGGTCTAGTAAACAGCTACCATAATAGTGCTTGTCCTCCAACTTACCTATTACCCATAACCACAGGAATTTACTGACTTCTTGTACAGGGCACTTCAATTATGTGGGGAAGTCAACATCCTGTGAAGGCAGCCCTCAACCAAAGGGGGAGAAAAATTGGTGGACAGTTACTATTGTTTGAAGAAACTATTCTGAGTCATATTGTTTAAGATTGTAAAAGGATTCTCAGTAAGAACAGGCCTCAGTTGCCCACAGAGGTGACAAGTTCAGTGGCTTTTGGTCTTTCTGTATATAACTCTCCACATGTTTGAACTCTTGCTTCCTGAAATATCTTCCCCAAATACACTGAAGCTTCCCAAGTCCTTATTGAAGGCTGTACATTCATGGAAACTAAAAAAAAAAAAAAAAAAAAAAAAAACCAAACAGGCAGAACATTCAGGTTCAGTTATCCTGGCTTTCTCTAGTCCCTGAAGGACAGGGCCAACCCTGCTACCATTGTATACTCCAAACTATGGCTCAGAGGTTTGAGCATTATGGGAAATGAATCTCATCGTTCCCTTGCTTCTGGATAGGGAGGTACCATTGAAAAAAGAAAGATCTCCATAACAAGTACAAATAATGTAGGAAAATTTGAGGCTGCTTTTGTTAGCAATCTCTTGTTTTTATGGTAGATGTAAACAATTCTGTACAGCATTTTCCATTTATAGTTCTCATCATAATACCTACACTCATAAGAAATGTGTAGAACATAGTTCATTCTTTATAGTCACAAAACACTTGCAAGGAAAATACTCTTTGATCCTCATCCTGATTATTTTCTTCAATATTGTTCTTCAAACCTTTGTCATCAAGTAGATCAAACTAGCTTTTAAATGGATTAGCTTGTTCTCAAATAAGGTAGTTGGTGGACCACACTATTGGGAGTCAATAATTTTTTTCACTTTCTTCATCAGCATTATGTAGATATGACTGTAAGGTCATATCTGAATCTCCATCATGTTACACGAGACATATTTCCAATGGTCTTGCTCTAAAAATCGCCCCCACTGAAGAGATCTTAACACTGGAGACCTAAAGTTTTCTGGATATTCTTTTTTATAAAACATATTTTTAAAAATCAATTTTGAAAAAGATGTCTACATTTATTTTAACTCTCTGTTGAGCAATGCTATCTTTCTACCAAAATCCTGGTTGAGTTTAGCATTAAGAACTACAAAACATTTAAAAAGCCATGTTTGAAATAAAGTAGAGTACAATATTTGAGTCAATTATTGAATAACCCAGAGCCACATTTTCCTTGACTAATGATTCCTAATGTCATTTTTATTGTTATTATTCCCATTTTTTTTGCCATAAAGTGCTGTTATAAACTGAAACAATTAGCCATTTACTTTATTTTTATTTGCTGTTATTCATAAACTTGGAAGCATATACTATACACCTTGACACCAAGTAAAATGTGTATTTTACCCTAGAGAACAGTGCAAAGGAGTTGTATTTCTACAATTTATAGGCCCTCTTTTTTGTCCAATAAAATTCTTGGGACACCAGAATGTGTCTGGGTTCATTGTTGTTATCTTGAGCTGGAATTAAGCAGAACATAATCTGTTATACTTAACGATGTTTGTGAAGAATTTGAAATTGCAAAATTGTTACAGTAAAGGTGATTGGCAAATTGTGAATATGCTGATGTTGCATGATCTATTCATGGATGCATGTGCTTAGTAATTTTAGAATAGATAGTAAAGTGAGTGCCTGCCTGGTTTACTAGAAAATATTGAAAAAAAAAAAAAAAAAGGAGCCAAGTCCCATTAGATCAGAATTTAAATGTGAAAACCAACACAATAGTTTGAAATAAGAATATATAATTAAGCTTGTACTGGAATTCTGAAAGAGTTCACTGGTGCCAGTTTGTCTTCTAGTTTATTTTTAAAAATCTTCATTGCCTATTTAAAGTTCTATTTCTTATGAGAAATTTGTAATGCAGATGTATACTGTCTCTTTGAACCTCGACAGACTTGCATTCTTGAAATCTGAAGTATTATGAGTTGCCAAAAATTGGGCTATAAAGGTGCTAATGCACGTGGGCTTCTGGCTTATTGAAGGCGAATTCTTTTTACCTAGCTTTACTTACCTAGGTCATTGACCAAAGTCTCTCAGAGTTTTAGGGAATGAAGTATTAGTATGTCAGAAATATTGTCAGTAATGGTGCAATGAGGTAATTTCAAATTGCTTTTAAGTGGTTTGTGGGGGCACAATTAGATTCAGTTATCTATTTATACTGCTCACATAATTTCTTCTTCTAAATATAAACACAAGTACATACATATGTATCGGTGCACATATTTCTTTACATGCCCACCTGCCTCATAGCATAAATTCATAATAGAGAGTCTCTAAGAATGTCCTAAAAAATAATAAACCTCATTTTAACCACATGATCAGTAGAGTAGCAATGCTTTAAAGTGAAATCAGAAAATACTCTTTGTGGGGATTAGTGCTAAATTATGCTTTATAATGTCTCCTTGGACTAAACAATGATTATTTCTAGTTCTTTACATTTCACACTCTGTTGCAGAAATGATAAAATATTCTTCCCAGACAGAGATTGTGTTCGATGTCGCCTTATCTCCCACCAGCAGAGGCCTGATTAAGTGGCTGATTAGTATGCAGGTCATGCTGTCACTAGTAAAATTTTATTATGACTCTGAAGTGAAATTTTGATGGCACAATTCATGACTGTGAATATTTTGTGAATTCCAAGTGAAATGAGCAAAACAAAACAATAGGAGATTAGATTCACTGAGCTTATATAATAAACAGACATAAATAAATGCCCATAAAATTTACAGGTTGAATCTGGGGGACTGGAGAGTGATCCCATTAAGGCTCACAAATGGGTTTAAATGCACATAACTTTCATCCATCAGCATTATACTCATTTGTTCTTGCTGCTGTGGTCATTAGTGAGAAGCATTTATCTTTGTCATTTCTTAACAGCCTCTGGACTTTGAGACCAAAAAATCCTATACGCTAAAGGTAGAGGCAGCCAATGTCCATATTGACCCACGCTTCAGTGGCAGGGGGCCCTTTAAAGACACGGCGACAGTCAAAATCGTGGTTGAAGATGCTGATGAGCCTCCGGTCTTCTCTTCACCGACTTACCTACTTGAAGTTCATGAAAATGCTGCTCTAAACTCCGTGATTGGGCAAGTGACTGCTCGTGACCCTGATATCACTTCCAGTCCTATAAGGTATTTTTATTTTAAAAGGAATACTGGCTACTGCAAATGACAAGCAGATCAGTGAAAAATGCCTTTGCTTGTACCTTCTGTGGGGCTCTCCTTGGGACTATGCTCACATGACCAAATAATGTTGGTTGGCACATACTGTGTGTGTGTGTGTGTGTGTGTGTGTGTGGTGTGTACACGCACACGTATGCCTACTAAGTGCTACATAGAGCCCAGAGCCAGGAACAATAAGATGAATACAGCTATTCCAGCTCTTAGAGAGCTCTATGAAAATGCAAAGTTGCAAATGTTTGCAATACATTTGGGTGGATCTTGTTATTTTTATGTTTTTGTTTGTTAGTGCTTTTTTTGTTTGTTTGTTTAGCTTTGGGGAAGCATTGCTAGTTTGTCCTCTGTCTCTTTTGACAGTTATGGTGAATTATATATTAGAATTTAGAGGCACGAGACCATAGTGTCAATGCATTAAGAGGCTCCTATTTTATTTCTGCATTTGGTGTTTGGCTTTGAAATGATCTTTTTATTACTTCTTGGACATTTCTGATAGGTCAGCATATCTGGTTTGGTGTCTCCTAGATAAAAATCTTTCTCTGCCATTTCAAAAATACCCTCTGTTTATAGTTTTTCTGCTCAAAATTTTTCCCCAGGATGCGAAATAATTCTTTATTAAAGCTTTTCTGTCTTTTTTAGAAATGAAGCTCCATTCGATTTTTTTTTTCTGTTGTACTGTACACATCTTTTTTCTTTTTCCAGTCACCCAAATGACAGTACAGGTTCTCCAGCTAAATAGCTTTCTCCTGAAAGCACACTGAAAATCTATAACTTCTATGCTGGTCTCCAAGGGTGAAGTGTTGGCTAATGATGTGTTTTGAGTGTGGATTTCAAATATTGTCTTACAAATATTTGTTGCAAAATCAAGGAGATAGAGAGTAAGAAGTAGATGGAGGAATACAATTTTAAAGAATTGTCCAGCTGATTTCTGAGTTTGATGTCAGCTCATACCAAACCCTTTCAATTTACAAGTCACAAATAACTAGGGCAGACCTGCTTCCAATTACTTCATTTGGGGAAACCCTGGTAAAGTGAGTTATCTGTCGGTTTATTTATTCGATTTTTTAAAAAATGTATTAAATTCCTGTTACTCACAAGGGTGCTGAGACTATGAGGCTGAGATTAAAACCTTGCAGGACAATCAGCACCCCAAATAAGTTGAATTTGTACAAAAATTATTTACAGACCCAGAAGAGCACTTTTTGTTTTTAAGTACAAATCATTTCTAAATTCAGAATAACAAATAAGACTACAGCCAATAAGTATGCAAAGAAGACTCTTCCTGCAGAAGAGTCTAACCTCTAAGAAGATGAAACTACCTGGGGATTTGAGAAATGGTCCATTGGCCATTCTCAGTTCTAAAGAAATTTCACAAACTATAGACATATGCAAAAAATAAGGGTATTTGGCTAAGAAAATTATATCTATTAATGGGCCAATGTTGAATGCAATGGGAGGAATATCCAAAAAAAAATTTACATTGGCATTAATTTCCGGAAAATATAGTGAAATTATGCAATGGCTTTATGCTGGAATGCTGACATTAATGGGGACAATGATATTTGTTGAGTGGATGAATCTGCCCTGTTCCTATGTTTCTCAATTTCCTCTGAAAGGAACTCAAAAAGGAGTAGTTGCCACATCCTTTACATCTCCAAGCAGGAGAAAGAATGTGAAGGGAGGAAATGAGATTGGTTCAACTGAGACACCAATCAGAGGACCGGTTTTAGTGCTTGATTTGACAAGGTTTCTACTCTTGTCAGCCAGGAGCATGTAAGGGCTTCAGAGTCTGCCAAGCCAAGGGTCCTTAGGGAAAATAAGGGTTCAGATATCAGCACAATAATATAAGCTCCCAACATGGACTACATGGTACCAGTGGGAATGGACTGGCTGTGCAGAGACACGATCTTAATCATCTAGAGATGAGGCTTAAGGAACTTTCATGCCATAGTAAAAGTAGCATCTTATTGGCAGAGCTAGCTATAAATCCAGGTTCATAGTTGTCCACATATGGTTGCACATTTTATAATCTATTCATTTTACTGATGTAAAAATGGAGATTTACTGATACTAATTCCAGTTCACAGGGAATCAAGAGAAGATTCTCATTGTAGTTGCTAGTTATTATTATTGCTATTGCTACTTTTATTACTGTTACTGGCAGGAAAGTTTGTGTAGAGGAAGCTTGAGGCTGTTTAGAAATAACTGTCCAGCTTAGAAGCATTTCATTTTCAGGAAAGCTAAAGGGGATTTGAGACTGTTTTTACCAGGAAGAGATGGACAGATAAAGCACTATTTGATGACACAGGCATATCTGTGCTTCTGATAGATGTCAGGCAAGTGCTAGTTCTTCAGCATCTATGGTTCTACCCAAAGAAGGGACAAATGCTGTTTCAAAGCATTTACAGCAGCCTTTGGCATGTCATTCAGAAGGGGGAGCCCACACATTTTTTATTAAACCTGGCTTGGCTCCATGGGATGAGAACTTAAGAATCACAAACCATATTTTTCAACATCTGTTCTGCAGTTCTACAGTCCTCTGCCCCCACCTCCACCCCAGTTGGATCATGGAGAGCAGCTTCCCTCTCTCTATGCACAATTGGTTAATTTCAGAAGAAAATTAAATTTCCTGACTAGCCAGAGCAATGCATAGTTCCTTATGAGTCTAGCAGACAGATTTAGAGCCATTTAACCTTTTTAGACAGAACCAGAGGATATGGATATTCAGGGAATTATTGGGTAACACATAGCTATGCATTATTTTCTCTTTAGGACTGTTGTATTTTATACACTGACAAGAATGTATCCATCTTTTAGGATAACGTTTAATTTGCTATCCAGCAAGAAATAGGCAGTTATCCCAGCATCTGCCATGCTAAAACATACAGTTATTTGTTGGTTGGTTGGCTTCTCACGCGGTTCAATTTCTTTTTAGAGCACATTGTCAAGCTAGAAATATCATGTATTTTTGACTTCTTATACCTACTACTATATCTCTATCTGTATGTATTTGTCTGTATATTCCTTTACGGGGGAAAATGAAAAGTGACATAGAGAAAAATCCGTCATCTTACCCTCTCACTTGCAGGAACATTAATTAGTTCCTTGCTACTTTCTGCAATACTATGTCTTTCACTAATGTAAAATAAAGTTGTGTAAATTATTTAAAATATGACATATTTTGAATTTAGGGAGACTAAGGTTGAAATCATATCACTACTACTTCCCAGTCGGAGAACTAGTCTCTGGAATTCTCTGAGATTCAGTTTTCTCCTCCGTATGGGATAATATCATCTTTCTTGCAGTGTTAATGAGATGATTAAGTGACAATATTGAATAAAATATGTGGTAGCTAGTAGGGTTACCAGTTAATAAAAGGTAAGCCACCATCAATTTCACATCTTAAATGCAAATTAAGAACCTAAAACTTATTTTAGTAGAGATTCATCTAGGTGGCTGTGTGCAGAATTGTGTTTTTTCTTTGACAGCTATAGGCTAAATAGTCTAATTGATCTCATTTAGTCTTATTTTCTCCTGCTACTGCTACGGATGTTGTTACTAGTGAGTGCTTGGTATATATCAGGACCTGTGCAACATATACTTGTTTCATTCTCTAACACTTCTAGTATATATATGTGGAGTCATTATGTTGCAGCTAAAGCTGGGTTCTTATCACATAACAAGGAAAATTTAGGTACGCAGACACATTAAAAGGTGAGTAGGACAGGATTTTATTGGGCAAAAAGGGAAAAAAAAACAGCAAAGCAAGATAAGAGTCATGCTAACAGGCTCCCCACCTCACAGATTGAATCCTCCCGGCTAGGACACGGAACTGGAGACCAGGCTTCTCCCCCTGCCCGTGGCTCCACCCTGTTCCCCCAGTGCGCATGTAGACATGCTCAGACACAGCCCTGGGCCAGTTCCCTCATCTGCACAAGAGCATCTGATGTAAACACTTGCGGGGCAGGCCGGAGATTCTCCAAGGGCCTTTTATCAGCTTAGGCATTTGGCTGTCTCGGTTATACCCATTTAAGAGATGTGAAACCTGAGGATTAAAGAACTAACTTGCCCAGTATCACACAAATAGTTAGAAGTGGAACTGGGGTGTGCACTTGGGTCTTATGATGGTGCCATGCCTATCCCCAGTCCTTTCTTTTCCTTGTGATCTCTGTAACTCGTCAACTGGGCCTATAAGCTTTAGGATGACTGAGTAGGACCAATTATAATGGAAATAATTGACTATTCATTCTCTAAATGACCTCACTGAATATCAGGAAAGAAGAAAAATAAACCAAATCTGTGGAATTAACCAGAGTATAAATGCTGTGATCTTTGCTCATCTGCCTAGCCACCTGGTATGGGTTTGTTATTATTGGCTGTGAACCAGATTGTGATGGGCAAGGTAAAGGAGAAAACAATGTTATTTTTATTTGATGAATCCGACACCATACTAAGCTCCTATTATGTATTATCTCACGTAATTCTTACAAATGACACCAAGAAATACTTAGTATGATTTCAGTTTTATAAAGAAGGAAACTTAAAAAGGATAAGCTTCCTGTACTTAGTGATATAGCACGTAAACGCAGGACGAGAGGTTAAATCCAAGTTTCTGCTTATCATTGGCCACTATACCTATGCACGCTCTTCTAGATTATGGATTCTTGAAAGTGGAATACGATGATGACAGTCGTGTTTATTGAGCCCATACTTCGTGACAGACACTCTGAAAAGTTGTTATATGCAGCAAATTATTTATATTTAAGGTAAACATTCCTAGCCCAGAACAGATACTAGAAATAAGTCAGTTCTTTCATGTAAATCTGCTGTGGGCCATTTTTTTTTTCCTTTCATAAACTTATTTCAATTGTGTATTGGGTGTCACCATGGCTTTGAGATGGTATGTGATTCTTTCTAAGGAAATCACTTTCTATTGTTTCCCAAGCATTCACCTTGAATAAGACTGCATGAGCTGCTTAAGTTAAAAGTGGAAATGATGGCCATTCAGCAGGCAGAGTAGGAGGTCAACATAAGATCATTGTGGCCACAGTGCTGTGTTGTCCTAATTCCTCTCTTGAATATAAATACCCACTCAACACAGAAGCATTGCATTTTTTTTTCCTACTGGTATTCTGGCATTTTTATAATTCACCTGAGTTACCAGGGTGGCTGTTCATCAGCAATTCTCCTGAAAGCAGTCTTTAGATTCATGATATCTAAGGATGCTAAAGTGAAAATATTTCATACTGTAGAAAACTTGGAATTAATTTAGATAGTAGATGGTGTATTGATTGATTCCCTCAGTCTTGCAATAACTCTCAATTTCTGTAAGGAGCATGTTTGTTTGTGTGTGTGTTTGTGGTGTGTTTGTGTGTGTAAAGAGCACTTAATAAGGGATCCACTATCTTATAAGATTTATAAGTGCACAATATAGTATTATTAACAATAGGTGCAACTTCTACAGCACATCTTTAGAACTTATTTATTTTGCATAACTAAAACTTTATGCCTGTTGATTAGCAATGCCCCATTTTCTTTTTCCCCAGTCCCTGGCAACCACAATCCTCTCTGATTCTTTGGATTTGACTATTTTGGATACCTCATAAAAGCAGAATCATGCAGTATTTGTCCTTTCGTGACTGGATTATATCTCTTAGTAGAATGTCCTTAACATTCATTCATGTTGTTGCGTATTGCAGGATCTCCTTGTTTTTAAAGGAGAAACACATTGAATAGTGTTTCAATGTCTCTCTATACCACATTTTCTTTATCCATTCATCAATGAACGTTTAGGTTGTTTTCCCATTTTGGCTATTGTAA
The DNA here is from genome assembly GCF_000001405.40 of Homo sapiens. NCBI lineage: Eukaryota > Metazoa > Chordata > Mammalia > Primates > Hominidae > Homo > Homo sapiens. The sequence continues at coordinate 61,811,613 of NC_000016.10, read as the reverse complement.
ATACTATGAACATAGGAGTGCTAATATCTTTTTAATATCTTGATTTCAATTCTTTGGGATAAATACTCAGAAGTGAGATTTCAGAATCATATAGTGATTCTGTTTTTAAGTTTTTGAGGAACCTCCATACTATTTTCCATAACAGCTCCACCATTTTGCATTCCCACCAACAGCGTATAAGAACCTAGTATTTTTAAATAATTAAAACTTGTTTCATTTAATTCTTGTACTTTCATGGCCAAATAAAAATTTGATTGTCCCCAATTTGAAAACAGCACATCGTCCAACACTGTTTCGAAAAACTCACTATACCTGCGAATTCAACTAATGGTAATTAATTCATTAAGTCACATATTCAGAAACTCATTCATTCATTCATTCACATTAATTCATTTATTCATTCATATATATTTTGACTGACATTTTGTCCAATTATTGTCAGCTGAACCTACATTTTGTCAAGAAATTTCTAGAAAGGCACAATATCTGTCTTTGTGAGCCTATAATACAGAGGTTGGCTGAATATCCCCAGAAAAACCAAAGCCCTTCACAGTTATCTAACTAGTCTTCTTTTTTTTTTTTTTTTTTTTGAGACAGAGTCTCACTCTGTCACCCAGGCTGGAGTACAGTGGCACAATCTCGGCTCACTGCAACCTCAGCCTCTTGGGTTCAAGCAATTCTTCTGCCTCAGCCTCCTGAGTAGCTGGGAACACAGGCATGCACCACCATACCCGGCTAATTTTTTGTATTTTTAACAGAGATGAGGTTTCACTATGTTGGCCAGGCTGGTCTCAAAACTCCTAACCTTCTGATCCGCCCCCCTCGGCCTCCCAAAGTTCTTGGATTACAGGCGTGAGCTACTGCTCTCAGCCTTATCTAACTAGTCTTTTATACATGCTCTCTGAAAATGGTAAACAAAATCAAACTGTAGAGCTTTAAGGTCACATGGAGGAAAACCTTTCCTAATGAATTTTGAATAGAAGTTCATAGATATCCAAGGATGCCAATAATGTTATAGTGAAAATATCTCACCCTGTAGAGAACCTTGTAGTAATTTGAAGGTAGATTTTATTTATTGTTTTCTCACATTTTTATTCTCCCTTCATTTCCTGTCTTTCTCTCTCTCTCTCTCTCTCTCCTCTCTGACTATAAAGAAATTATTTGGATAGAAAAAGGCTCCTTCTTTTCCTTAGAGGAATAATAAATAATATGTGATGCAGGGACCTTAGAATTCTGGAACTAGCAGAACTCAGATAATATTATTTATTAAAGCAGTTAGAGCAACCAGTGGAGCAATTAGAGGCAAAAAGCTGAAAACTTGTAGATGGAATTTTTGATACTCAAAGTGCATGCGAGAAAATGTTAAAATGGTTTCTTTAGGCATAATAACAAAAGCTAGAGTGAAATTAAGCAGTGAGAAAGAAACAGTTGGAGTTCAGTGAAATATAATAACTGATTCATAACTAAGGGGTTTATTTCATTATGTGTGGCTCTAAATAGCATCTTCACTTGCAGTTGGCTCACAATTGTATCTTCCTATAAATTTTCCATACAGAGGCCTCAAACCAGTGTTTACCAAAACATTTTTTATGATATAAAAGTGCATTTATGCCGTTTAAATTTGAAAAATAGATACACAGTCTTTCTCCAAGGGCAGCAAATCCCTAATGGAGCTCTAATAATCACTACTGGGACTAAAGATAGGGTGACCGGGTCACTTTGAATTCCACGGTCTTTGCTATAGGACTTCACAGGTGAGTTGCTAAGGTGCATTGCACCCTCTAAGGGGAGAATGTAAGTAGCATCTTTGATTTTGGAACCTTGTGTTTTGCTCTGCACAGCATCTAAAGTATGCTGAGAACCATGCTGATTTAAAAGAGGGCAGTCAGGTTCCTGTCCTGATCTGTCCTCTAAATTCCAGTGCACTGAGCAATGAAAATATCATGATGCTTTCTGCCAATAGACTGTGTTGTCTATGACTATATAAATTTCACCTTTTTTCTTTTCTTTTTAAATTTTGCTTTAAGTTCTGGGATACATGTGCAGAACGTGCAGGTTTGTTACATAGGTATACTTGTGCCATGGTGGTTTGCTGCACCCATCAACCTGTCATCTAGGTTTTAAGCCCCATATGCATTAGGTATTTGTCCTAATGCTCTCCCTCCCCTTGCCCCTGACCCTTTGATGGGCACAGGTATGTGATGTCCTCCCTGTGTCCATGTGTTCTCATTGTTCAACTCCCACTTATGAGTGAGAACATGCAGGAAAGTCACCTTTTTTTCTTTCTAAAGAGCTTACTAGAGGGACAAAACCCCATGACGTTAGTAAATACTTTGACTCCATTACACTAGGCCAGGGGTAAGCCTGTGGGCCAAATACGGCCTGTTACTTTTTTTGTTTTTTTTTAGTAAAGTCTTTTTTTTTTTTGAGATGGAGTTTTGCTCTTGTTGCCCAGGCTGGAGTGCAATGGCTCGATCTCGGCTCACAGCAACCCCCACCTTCCGGGTTCAAGCGATTCTCCTGCCTCAGCTTCCCGAGTAACTGGGATTACAGGCATGGGCCACCATGCCCGTCTAATTTTGTATTTTTAGTAGAGACGGGGGTTTCTCCATGTTGATCAAGCTGGTCTTGAACTCCTGACCTCAGGTGATCTGACTGCCTTGGCCTCCCAAAGTGTTAGGATTACAGGCGTTAGCCACTGCGCCTGGTCTAGTAAAGTCTTATTGGAACACAGCCACCGTCATCCTTTTATGCTTACAACTGCAGAGTTGAAATTGTTGTGCTGGGAACACTGTGGACTGCAAAACCTAAAATACGTTCTTTACAAAAAACTTTGTCACCCCCTACACAAGACTGTTGGAAGTTTGAATTTCCATCAGTAAGTTGAACAGTCAGCTCCCATATCATTCCAGGATTTTACTCTGTCTCAAAGCTCCCTAAAATAAATTTCTCAAAATAATTTAAAGAATGTTAGTAGTCAAATAACTTTTTTGTATTAGGATCCAGCTACCTGCAATGAGAATTGTTATTGCCATCATTGCCTTAGAGCCCTTGGAATCTTAGTACTCATGGGGCCCATGACAGCATGCACCCATGTTGAATCTGCCAGAAAAAGCTGGCTTCCTCAGCCTAGCTTTTGAGGAAATTTTCATAACCAATAATGCAGGATGCAGTGGGTACCCTGAAGAATACTGTGATGTTTCCCTGCTTAGAGTGAGGAATTTGTTTCCTTCATGGTTTTATTATAAATTTCTATTTTTTTTTTACCTGCTCATTTTCTTCTTCTGATCTCAGTGATGGCTATAATACAGGGGTTTGGAATTGAGGCTGTTGACTGCCTTAGCCAAACCCTAGTCCCTTCACTGTAATCTCTTCACACATTCTTTGATTACAGTAGCATTTCTCTACCAAAATGGATGAAGAAGCAAGAACAAGAAACTGACTTAGAATAGATTTGTAGTTTGTACATCAAACTTGAATATGCATTCTTCTGTATGACACTAGGTTTTCAGCAAAGGATATGAAAAATATTTTATGTGTCTTTATTCATGCATATTTAGCATTTTAGTACAGTGCTTTTTGCATATATTTCATTTACATTTACACTTTGTAGCATTAACTCCCTGAATTACACATATTCTTATTCCCATTAAACAAATATGTTACAGGTTTGAAAGTAGATGGAGTCTGAAATGAAAGCCATTTGTTAGGGATTGCCACCTATGAAAGGAAAGGAGCAAGAGCATGATGGACAGACAGTGAAATCAAACTGCACCTCAATCCAAGCCAAAACTTGGCCCAAACTAGTAGTTTCCTTTGGAATCAGTGTTGCTTATCAGAGGAGTACTACGTCATGCCAAAGTGGTAGGGCCTTTATATCTCTGTTTGCTTAGTCTTCAGAAAACCTCTGGAGTGGGGATTTTCTGAAACTGAGATGGACCCTAAGTAGTGGATAGCTGGAGGCTGTCTCCTGACCACGCCCCTCACATCTCTGGCATCCTCCTTTGAAGGGCAATCTGCACAGCAGTTCTTCATGTCTATAATGGATACGCACACTGAAACTCTGTAGTAATGAAGTAATTTTACTGAATTTTTTGTTTGTTTGTTTGTTTTTGTTTTTTGTTTTTTGTTTTTTTTATTATACTTTAAGTTTTAGGGTACATGTGCACATTGTGCAGGTTAGTTACATATGTATGTATACATGTGCCATGCTGGTGCGCTGCACCCACTAACTTGTCATCTAGCATTAGGTATATCTCCCAATGCTATCCCTCCCCCCTCCCCCCACCCCACCACAGTCCCCAGAGTGTGATATTCCCCTTCCTGTGTCCATGTGATCTCATTGTTCAATTCCCACCTATGAGTGAGAATATGCCATGTTTGGTTTTTTGTTCTTGTGATAGTTTACTGAGAATGATGATTTCCAATTTCATCCATGTCCCTACAAAGAACACGAACTCATCATTTTTTATGGCTGCATAGTATTCCATGGTGTATATGTGCCACATTTTCTTAATCCAGTCTATCATTGTTGGACATTTGGGTTGGTTCCAAGTCTTTGCTATTGTGAATAATGCCGCAATAAACATACGTGTGCATGTGTCTTTATAGCAGCATGATTTATAGTCCTTTGGGTATATACCCAGTAATGGGATGGCTGGGTCAAATGGTATTTCTAGTTCTAGATCCCTGAGGAATCGCCACACTGACTTCCACAATGGTTGAACTAGTTTCCAGTCCCACCAACAGTGTAAAAGTGTTCCTATTTCTCCACATCCTCTCCAGCACCTGTTGTTTCCTGACTTTTTAATGATTGCCATTCTAACTGGTGTGAGATGGTATCTCATTGTGGTTTTGATTTGCATTTCTCTGATGGCCAGTGATGATGAGCATTTTTTCATGTGTTTTTTGGCTGCATAAATGTCTTCTTTTGAGAAGTGTCTGTTCATGTCCTTTGCCCACTTTTTGATGGGGTTGTTTGTTTTTTTCTTGTAAATTTGTTTGAGTTCATTGTAGATTCCGGATATTAGCCCTTTGTCAGATGAGTAGGTTGCGAAAATTTTCTCCCATTTTGTAGGTTGCCTGTTCACTCTGATGGTAGTTTCTTTTGCTGTGCAGAAGCTCTTTAGTTTAATTAGATCCCATTTGTCAATTTTGTCTTTTGTTGCCATTGCTTTTGGTGTTTTGGACATGAAGTCCTTGCCCATGCCTATGTCCTGAATGGTAGTGCCTAGGTTTTCTTCTAGGGTTTTTATGGTTTTAGGTCTAACGTTTAAATCTTTAATCCATCTTGAATTGATTTTTGTATAAGGTGTAAGGAAGGGATCCAGTTTCAGCTTTCTACATATGGCTAGCCAGTTTTCCCAGCACCATTTATTAAATAGGGAATCCTTTCCCCATTGCTTGTTTTTCTCAGGTTTGTCAAAGATCAGATAGTTGTAGGTAGGCGGCGTTATTTCTGAGGGCTCTGTTCTGTTGCATTGATCTATATCTCTGTTTTGGTACCAGTACCATGCTGTTTTGGTTACTGTAGCCTTGTAGTATAGTTTGAAGTCAGGTAGTGTGATGCCTCCAGCTTTGTTCTTTTGGCTTAGGATTGACTTGGCGATGCGGGCTCTTTTTTGGTTCCATATGAACTTTAAAGTAGTTTTTTCCAATTCTGTGAGGAAAGTCATTGGTAGCTTGATGGGGATGGCATTGAATCTGTAAATTACCTTGGGCAGTATGGCCATTTTCACGATATTGATTCTTCCTACCCATGAGCATGGAATGTTCTTCCATTTGTTTGTATCCTCTTTTATTTCCTTGAGCAGTGGTTTGTAGTTCTCCTTGAAGAGGTCCTTCACATCCCTTGTAAGTTGGATTCCTAGGTATTTTATTCTCTTTGAAGCAATTGTGAATGGGAGTTCACTCATGATTTGGCTCTCTGTTTGTCTGTTGTTGGTGTATAAGAATGCTTGTGATTTTTGTACATTGATTTTGTATCCTGAGACTTTGCTGAAGTTGCTTATCAGCTTAAGGAGATTTTGGGCTGAGACAATGGGGTTTTCTAGATATACAATCATGTCATCTGCAAACAGGGACAATTTGACTTCCTCTTTTCCTAATTGAATACCCTTTATTTCCTTCTCCTGCCTAATTGCCCTGGCCAGAACTTCCAACACTATGTTGAATAGGAGTGGTGAGAGAGGGCATCCCTGTCTTGTGCCAGTTTTCAAAGGGAATGCTTCCAGTTTTTGCCCATTCAGTATGATATTGGCTGTGGGTTTGTCATAGATAGCTCTTATTATTTTGAAATACGTCCCATCAATACCTAATTTATTGAGAGTTTTTAGCATGAAGGGTTGTTGAATTTTGTCAAAGGCTTTTTCTGCGTCTATTGAGATAATCATGTGGTTTTTGTCTTTGGCTCTGTTTATATGCTGGATTACATTTATTGATTTGCGTATATTGAACCAGCCTTGCATCCCAGGGATGAAGCCCACTTGATCATGGTGGATAAGCTTTTTGATGTGCTGCTGGATTCGTTTTGCCAGTATTTTATTGAGGATTTTTGCATCAATGTTCATCAAGGATATTGGTCTAAAATTCTCTTTTTTGGTTGTGTCTCTGCCCGGCTTTGGTATCAGAATGATGCTGGCCTCATAAAATGAGTTAGGGAGGATTCCCTCTTTTTCTATTGATTGGAATAGTTTCAGAAGGAATGGTACCAGTTCCTCCTTGTACCTCTGGTAGAATTCGGCTGTGAATCCATCTGGTCCTGGACTCTTTTTGGTTGGTAAACTATCGATTATTGCCACAATTTCAGCTCCTTTTATTGGTCTATTCAGAGATTCAACTTCTTCCTGGTTTAGTCTTGGGAGAGTGTATGTGTCGAGGAATGTATCCATTTCTTCTAGATTTTCTAGTTTATTTGCGCAGAGGTGTTTGTGGTATTCTCTGATGGTAGTTTGTATTTCTGTGGGATCGGTGGTGATATCCCCTTTATCATTTTTTATTGTGTCTATTTGATTCTTCTCTCTTTTTTTCTTTATTAGTCTTGCTAGTGGTCTATCAATTTTGTTGATCCTTTCAAAAAACCAGCTCCTGGATTCATTGAGTTTTTGAAGGGTTTTTTGTGTCTCTATTTCCTTCAGTTCTGCTCTGATTTTAGTTATTTCTTGCCTTCTGCTAGCTTTTGAATGTGTTTGCTCTTGCTTTTCTAGTTCGTTTAATTGTGATGTTAGGGTGTGAATTTTGGATCTTTCCTGCTTTCTCTTGTGGGCATTTAGTGCTATAAATTTCCCTCTACACACTGTTTTGAATGTGTCCCAGAGATTCTGGTATGTTGTGTCTTTGTTCTCGTTGGTTTTAAAGAACATCTTTATTTCTGCCTTCATTTCGTTACGTACCCAGTAGTCATTCAGGAGCAGGTTGTTCAGTTTCCATGTAGTTGAGCAGCTTTGAGTGAGATTCTTAATCCTGAGTTCTAGTTTGATTGCACTGTGATCTGAGAGATAGTTTGTTATAATTTCTGTTCTTTTACATTTGCTGAGGAGAGCTTTACTTCCAACTATGTGGTCAATTTTGGAATAGGTGTGGTGTGGTGCTGAAAAAAATGTATATTCTGTTGATTTGGGGTGGAGAGTTCTGTAGATGTCTATTAGGTCCGCTTGGTGCAGAGCTGAGTTCAATTCCTGGGTATCCTTGTTGACTTTCTGTCTCATTGATCTGTCTAATGTTGACAGTGGGGTGTTAAAGTCTCCCATTATTAATGTGTGGGAGTCTAAGTCTCTTTGTAGGTCACTCAGGACTTGCTTTATAAATCTTGGTGCTCCTGTATTGGGTGCATATATATTTAGGATAGTTAGCTCTTCTTGTTGAATTGATCCCTTTACCATTATGTAATGGCCTTCTTTGTCTCTTTTGATCTTTGTTGGTTTAAAGTCTGTTTTATCAGATACTAGGATTGCAACCCCTGCCTTTTTTTTGTTTTCCATTTCCTTGGTAGATCTTCCTCCATCCTTTTATTTTGAACCTATGTGTGTCTCTGCACGTGAGATGGGCTTCCTGAATACAGCACACTGATGGGTCTTGACTCTTTATCCAATTTGCCAGTCTGTGTCTTTTAAATGGAGAATTTAGTCCATTTACATTTAAAGTTAATATTGTTATGTGTGAATTTGATCCTGTCATTATGATGTTAGCTGGTGATTTTGCTGGTTAGTTGATGCAGTTTCTTCCTAGTCTCGATGGTCTTTACATTTTGGCATGATTTTGCAGCGGCTGGTACCGGTTGTTCCTTTCCATGTTTAGCGCTTCCTTCAGGAGCTCTTTTAGGGCAGGCCTAGTGGTGACCAAGTCTCTCAGCATTTGCTTGTCTGTGAAGTATTTTATTTCTCCTTCACTTATGAAGCTTAGTTTGGCTGGATATGAAATTCTGGGTTGAAAATTCTTTTCTTTAAGAATGTTGAATATTGGCCCCCACTCTCTTCTGGCTTGTAGGGTTTCTGCCGAGAGATCCGCTGTTAGTCTGATGGGCTTCCCTTTGAGGGTAACCCGACCTTTCTCTCTGGCTGCCCTTAACATTTTTTCCTTCATTTCAACTTTGGTGAATCTGACAATTATGTGTCTTGGAGTTGCTCTTCTTGAGGAGTATCTTTGTGGCGTTCTCTGTATTTCCTGAATCTGAACGTTGGCCTGCCTTGCTAGATTGGGGAAGTTCTCCTGGATAATATCCTGCAGAGTGTTTTCCAACTTGGTTCCATTCTCCCTATCACTTTCAGGTACACCAATCAGACGTAGATTTGGTCTTTTCACATAGTCCCATATTTCTTGGAGGCTTTGCTCATTTCTTTTTATTCTTTTTTCTCTAACCTTCCCTTCTCGCTTCATTTCATTCATTTCATCTTCCATCGCTGATACCCTTTCTTCCAGTTGATCGCATCGGCTCCTGAGGCTTCTGCATTCTTCACGTAGTTCTCGAGCCTTGGTTTTCAGCTCCATCAGCTCCTTTAAGCACTTCTCTGTATTGGTTATTCTAGTTATACATTCTTCTAAATTTTTTTCAAAGTTTTCAACTTCTTTGCCTTTGGTTTGAATGTCCTCCCGTAGCTCAGAGTAATTTGATCGTCTGAAGCCTTCTTCTCTCAGCTCATCAAAGTCATTCTCCATCCAGCTTTGTTCCGTTGCTGGTGAGGAACTGCGTTCCTTTGGAGGAGGAGAGGCGCTCTGCGTTTTAGAGTTTCCAGTTTTTCTGTTCTGTTTTTTCCCCATCTTTGTGGTTTTATCTACTTTTGGTCTTTGATGATGGTGATGTACAGATGGGTTTTCGGTGTGGATGTCCTTTCTGTTTGTTAGTTTTCCTTCTAACAGACAGGACCCTCAGCTGCAGGTCTGTTGGAATACCCTGCCGTGTGAGGTGTCAGTGTGCCCCTGCTGGGGGGTGCCTCCCAGTTAGGCTGCTCGGGGGTCAGGGGTCAGGGACCCACTTGAGGAGGCAGTCTGCCCGTTCTCAGATCTCCAGCTGTGTGCTGGGAGAACCACTGCTCTCTTCAAAGCTGTCAGACAGGGACACTTAAGTCTGCAGAGGTTTCTGCTGTCTCTTTGTTTGTCTGTGCCCTGCCCCCAGAGGTGGAGCCTACAGAGGCAGGCAGGCCTCCTTGAGCTGTGGTGGGCTCCACCCAGTTGGAGCTTCCCGGCTGCTTTGTTTACCTAAGCAAGCCTGGGCAATGGCGGGCGCCCCTCCCCCAGCCTCGCTGCCGCCTTGCAGTTTGATCTCAGACTGCTGTGCTAGAAATCAGCGAGACTCCGTGGGCGTAGGGCCCTCCGAGCCAGGTGTGGGATATAATCTCATGGTTCGCCGCTTTTTAAGCCGGTCTGAAAAGGGCAATATTCGGGTGGGAGTGACCCGATTTTCCAGGTGCGTCCGTCACCCCTTTCTTTGACTCGGAAAGGGAACTCCCTGACCCCTTGCGCTTCCCAGGTGAGGCAATGCCTCGCCCTGCTTTGGCTCGCGCATGGTGCACGCACCCACTGGCCTGCGCCCACTGTCTGGCACTCCCTAGTGAGAGAAACCCGGTACCTCAGATGGAAATGCAGAAATCACCCGTCTTCTGCGTCGCTCACGCTGGGAGCTGTAGACCGGAGCTGTTCCTATTCGGCCATCTTGGCTCCTCCAATTTTACTGAATTCACACCGCTAGCTGTCCAGCTCCCAAATCCACAGTGGTTACCATATTGGATAGAACAGGGCACACTTCTCAACCTACAGTGTCTTCCCTTAGATAAATATATATTTGTTACACATTTTGAGATGCAAACCTCATAGTGGCAAGTTAAGTTGCCTGAAATATTATCAGTGTGGTATACTAGACCTGGCTATTAGTTATAAATAATAATCAAATTACATGTATTTGTAAAATATTTTAAAACTAGTGATCTAAGGTGGTAGAGATTGCACAAGAATCTTGAGAGAGAAACAAAAAAAGAAAGTGCTGATCTAGGGTTTAAAATCAGCTTTTTTTTTTCTGATTGGTGAAGCTTCTGTATTCTCTAGGGAACAAAACTTAATAATAATGCTTATATTCTGAGAGAAACAAAGATGCTTGTGTAGGCTGAGCCATGATATCTAACATTATTATACTCATAAGGCAAAATAAATCCTCTATTTTGCATCATGACAAAGGGAGATTGACATCCTTATCTGATGTTCAAATATTTATGGGAGTCATTTTAACTAAACCTTTATTTTTCCTTATATTTCTACATTCTGGTTTGACATGATGTATTATACAGCTTTGCTTTTGATAAGGACAATCAGATTTGACTTAATGTTGCAGAGGAAAACATAATATTGCATATTTTAAGAAGAGAGCACGGTGGAAATGGAGAGCTTCTATTTTCATTCATTTGTCAAATGTTTATTAGCTCTACCCCATGAGTATGAAGTCTGCTTGCTGGGGAATGGGACGGGTCTAGCTGAAGTGCCTTTGAAACAGGCAATAGGGGACAAATCAAGTTTGGGATGATCTACCGAGGTTCACACCTTCATAGTAAATGAGAATACAATTTATGAAAGTCCTTAATGGGTCGAAGTCATGGAAAATATATTTAGTGGTACAAAGCACAGGAAAAGACCTAAATGCCCTTCCAAAGCCAAGGGTCTGAGATTGGACAGAACAAGTATGGAAGAGGAACAGGGTGTAGACTGTAGTGAAGAGAATTGTCTGTTTAATGGCAAAAGAGGACACATTTCTGGCTAACATTTATTGGACATCAAATACATGATCTTGCATTTTGCATTTGTTTAATTGTACAAGACCGGGTGAGACCGTGTGGGTAGACATTGCGTTTAGGAATGAGCATTTTTGGTAAAAAATATTTTTGTCCCCAGAATGAATTACATCTGGCAGAACACTGGAATGGTGTGTTTATCCTATTATTATAGTGTGTAAATAAGCACATCATTTGAATATAAATGCATCTCTAGTTTTAAGGTTGAGAGACCACCAGCCTAGGCAACATGGTGAAACCTCCTATCTATAAAACATACAAAGAAATAGCCGGGCGTGGTGGTGCATACCCGTAATCTCAGCTACCCAGGAGGCTGAGGCAAGAGGATCACTTGACCCTGGGAAGTGAAGGTGACAGTGAGCTGGGATCGTGCCACTGAACTCCAGCCTAGGTGACAGAGGGAGACCTCGTGAGACCTTGTCTTTGGGGGGGGGAAAAGAGTTAATAGACCATATCTTGCTTAACAGTTCATTCCCAGTATTTACCAAAACTCCTTATTATTTGGTAAATGAACCTTAATATCCAATTAAAATTTCAAATTATATACTCATTTATGACATTTTACATAACCTATTTTGACATAGTTATACACTACTTTTAAAATTAATTTTGGTGTGCATGCTTTCCTCAAATATGTTTTTTTCTATATGGTAAACAATTTTTACCAAAATGGAAACCACTTACATAATCAAATATCACCATCCTCATAACTTTCCAACATTTAATAAGAGTTTACTATGTGACAGATACTATGGTCAAGATATTATACATATTTCTCTTACTAACTTTATGACGGAGGAAATGCATGTTATCCCCATTTTACAACTATAAACATTGAGAGACAAGAAAGTCTATAATGGGCTACTCCACTAGATTATAGGAAAGATTAAATGAAAAATTAATATATAGGGCTTAGCAGAAAGGTCAAAAATTAGGAAAGATTCAATAAATGCATTAAATATATTATTAAATATGAGTACTGGATCTGGTCCTATGGTCTGAACTGTTACATTGTAAGATGCTTTTTTTATACTTCATCATTCTGTTGTCTCTTCTGTTACCTATTAGCGTTTGTCAACCTTGACTCTATTTCCTATGGAGAGAAGTATGACAGGCACGATCAACAGCTCCAAAAAGATATCATTTCAGGGAGGGGAAAGATTCTCTTCACTTGTAGATTGCCCCTGGCATTGCTGGGTCAATGTGGACCTGTGGACATTCATAGAAATCGATTGGGCTTCTTGTGTCCTGGGGGTAAGCAGTGAGGATCAAGGTCATCATGAGGGCTTTGGTGTAAGAGAGTTTATCCTCACAACTCCTAACCTCCCATCATAGAGAAGCACACACAAGAGATAAATCTCAAATAGCCACCAGAACTTCCGGATTCCATGCATTTCTAGAAATATTTAGTCATCTTTTGCTAATATTTATGTGAACATTTCTGATCCATTTGTTGTACTTGAATAATTACATAGAAATGGGTAAAAGAAAACAAGACAGAACTATTTTTAACTTGAAAACCAATATAGAGTAATTGAACATGTTACAAACATACTATAGGAGTGTTTCTTCAAGACTTCTTCACTTCCTTTGCTTTCCATGTTCAAATAATCACTATGCCTGGTTTATTTTACTTCCTAAGCTCAAACACCATCATCTCTAACTTGAGTAGTGATAACAGCCTCATTTGCTCATCTCTTATCCTTTGATCTCCACACAGCTGCCAAGATGATTTCTACCTCAGTTTCGACCTGTGCTGTTTGATATTGTGGCCACTAGCCAAATACAGCTCATTGAAGTTACAGAAAATTAATTTAAATTAAATAAAGTAAAAATTTCAATTTCTCAGTTACACTAGCTAGATAGCTAGGGTGAAATAGCCACATATAGTTAGTGGTTACCATACTGGATAACACAGAGCATATTTCTGCTACCATATAAAGTTCTATGCAATTCAGCTGTGGTTTAGATCATATCACTCCTGAGTTTATATCATGTCACTCCTCTTAATATTATGCACACATACAAGCATGATAGTTTTATGATACTCGGCACTAAGGGGCAGTCACTAAAACTTTGTTGACATTAAATAAAAAATCAAATTTGCAATGTAATCCTTTCACAATGTGTAAAACTGCATTTCATTTTTGCATTTTTTGTTACATCATCACATTTAGAATTCTCATAATGCACTATTATTTTCCTGGCTCCAGGGGAAAAAAGTTCAAATTTTTCAAAAGTATTATGTAAACATTGAAGAATTGATCATGAGTCAAACTGAATGTGGGATTTACTCTGGAGCATTTTCTTTTTTTTTGTTCCAGTGTTACATAAAATTATACATGTGATTATGGTTTTATTATGTTATTTTCTAAAAGTGTTTGTGGAACAAACTTTAAAACAACACAAACACACTGAAGAAATGAGACCTGAAATGAATTGACATAGATTTGGAATCTGAGAGTTCTATATTTACCCTAAATAATGTAAAGATACATTGATCGTGTTGAGTGAATTTGCTTCACCCTATTGGTGCAAATAGCAAATAGAAATATCACAAAATTATGGCTTTTTCCATGTAGAGCCCTCACACCAGAATCTTTCAAATATGTTTGTTGTTATTTTAAAAAAATCTGGATATTTGGCAGTGTCATCTACAAGTAATGATAAACACTCACTGTGATGCCATGTTTTAAAGTACAAGGAAATCTTGATTGCATACTCTCATTTGGGGCATACCTTAACCTTTTAAGGCAATCCTGTTGTTCTCATTTTTTAGATGAGGTAATTGAAGTGCTGATATATAAATTGGCATAGCACAGAAGTTATGAATAAAAGAGTTAGTTCCTGGAAAAATCATCAGCTGTTTCGCACAAATTGCAGTAGAAAGAATGCAGTTCAGAATAACTTTTTTCACCTATTATTCATTTATCTGTTATGGTAACCTGTATGGCTGCTGTGTACATTCCAGACTTAATTGCAGTTTGTTCGTGTTGTACTGGAGTCACAGGGAGTAAAAATGAAAGATCCACGACATTCAAAACTTTGTTCTGAAAATCTTGAAAGTGTTCTGCATGTATATTGTCACAGATTGATGTTCTTTATTACAAAAAAACAAAATAGAGTAGGAGATGGAGGCTTTGTGTGGATATGTAGCATTGGGTATGGGTTGAGGGAAAGGAGGTAGGAGATGCTTTAAATAAATATATGTTAGCAACAAAAAATCTAATGTAAGTCCACACACACACACAGAAAGAGGTGGAATTTTTGTGCCAAATATCAGTATGAAATGTATGCAGCTGGGCTGTGTTAATTGAGGAAACATATTACTCTGGTGAAAGTTTCTATTTAATATCAACAGTAGCAGCAATGCAGAAGTATGTTATTTCCCCAATGCAATAATATTCAGTTGGCCATTTTGACCTATTCTCAACCACTACACCAGTGTATTTTCTTAAATTTACTTTTGATCTCTCGAAGCTACTCTGAATTGAATGAACTGGTGACATTGGCTTGTGTCTGTGGTTAGTGTGCTGTGTATTAAATTATCGTCTTTGAACAAGTTGCTAAGCCATTAGGAATTTTCTTGAATTTGTATCCTTAATTCCGCAAAGTAAAAGGATCAGTTCCTTAGCATTTACTTCCAAGAAATACTACTGTAGATTAGAGGAATGGTGGTATTAGAAGCCAATCAGGATACTTGTTGGATTAAAAGTGAGAAAGTTTAAATAAGTCTCTTGTGAATATTAGTTATCAAGGACAATGCAGTTTCTAAACTATATCTATTGCAGTAGAAAGAGACTGTCTATTTCTAAAACTTCCATCATTAGAATTGATATTAATGTGACCCAAGGAGCCCATTTTCTCACATGCCACTTCCCATTGTGTTAATGAGAAGTTTCTTCTTACTGTGGCAGGAAGATGACTCTCCAATGTGCATGCTATTCTTCTCAAAACTAGCTCTTCTGTCTAAAGCATTTCAAATAATTCTGCAAATGAGCAGCAAATCCAATATATGCACAATTCTCAAGAAATTAGAACAGAAACTTCAATTCTAAAGATAAAAATACTAGATTTTTTTTAACCTAAAATAAAACTCATTAGCCTTTTCAATGTGAAAAGTAGGATCCAAATTAATTTTTTTCTTTCTCTTTTTCTCTCTTATCTATTCCCTTTTTTATTTCTCTTTTTCTCTCCCATCTATTCCCTTTCCTCATATTTTTAGTACTATGTTTCACACAAAATAATATTCCATGCTTAATAAGTGTTCACACATCCTTCCAGCAAGCCTTTTTTGAGTAACTTCACAATCTATGTGATGCTATATGAATCAAACATTCTTTCCTTGTGCTTAAAGAGCAAAGGTCAGGCAAATGTTTATACAGAAATAGGAGAGAAAATTCTTAAAAAAGGGTCAATCAGCAAACTCTAGGGCCAGGTATAAAAGGCTCCTGTAGGTAAGATGTGAGCAAGGAAACATGATATAGCTTCTCATCTCTTTGCTTGAAGTCTATGCTCTATGGAGATACCTATAGTAAGAGATATTTTGAAAACAGTAAACCCTGGTATAGACAAACACCACGAAGAGTTTGGAAATACTTTTTGAGTGTCACATAAAGAATTCTGTCTTTCCCGAAGCTACTAAAACATGTGACTAGTAGTTCTTATTTATTTCTTTTCGTTTTTGGATATTCATCTCCACAGTCAATTTGGGCTTTAAGAGAACTCTTACAGATTGAGGAATTGGCTCATCATTTATATTTATTTATTTTTGTGTCTAAATGTGAATCATTTATCAACTCATTTACTGCAAAGCAATCCTTGTGAAGTAGATTTTCTCCTATTTATAGATGAACATCTGAGATTAAGAGATAGCAAAAACCATAATTACTTTTGCACCAACCTGAGAGTTTCAATGTTATTCCCCCAGGTGAGATTCCACTGAAGACTCTCTGGCTCCTCAGGTTGTTTTTATTCTATTTTATGTGGTGCTACTCAGAAGGATGCTGAGAATCACAGGAAAACAAAGTGGCTTGAGGATCTACTTCTGAGATTTCTACCTCAAATCATGATGCCTGAGAAATTACATGATACAGATACTTTGAATTCTGAAATTTAAGTCATTACCCCAGAGTTGTTATTTTTAACCCACTCTTTTTTTTTAAGTATTTTCTGTGATTTGGCTTAAAGAAAGGGCCTATATCAGAGTTTTGTAATGAAATGTTGTCCTTTATTGATGCTGCAGTTTTATCACACAGTGAAATGAGTAGGAAGAGAGGGGAGGAATTAAAATGGTGGAATGTATAGTGGCAGCTGTGAGGACCAGAAAAAAGCAAACTGAATCTTTGCAGCTAGAGATGGGGTTGGCATAGCTGTGGTATGGGGGTGGGGAGGAGGGTGATTAGGACAGCATTTGCTGAGAGCATTCCAAAAATGGCATCCTTTCTGATTTTGTGATTAATCTTATAACTAAGATTAAAGGCTTATAAACTACTCAATATGAATACAAAAATCAACCTAATAAACCTTTGAATCTTCAATGATCAGTTCAAGGACAGAGATTTTGGTTAGAAAAGTTGGTGGAAAAAAAATACTGGTACCAGAAATGCAGAGATCGGTTCCTATTTATTCTCCCTTCCCAGCTTCATCTTTCATCACTTAAACCAAATTCCTCTAATTTCCTGTGTACACGCAGGACACTAACATTAAGGCCCAGATGAACTTCTTTAAGGACAGAGAAGTAAACAGTGAAAGGAAAACTACCTTGGACCTTAGAAAAAGTCAGGGAATCATCAATAGAAATCTTACAGTCTTTTCCTTATAAATAATGCTGACACTAAAGCTGTTAAAATACATGTTTACAGAGCTTTTGTTTTGGTGTCAGACCCTTAATAAGTATTTTATAAGCATTACCTCATTTAAAGTTCATAAATCATGGTACAATCCCCATTTTACAGATCAGGGAACAGTAATAACATAACTAAATCACATATACGCCAGTAATGAGACTAAGATGAGAACTCAGGATAACAGACTGTGGACCCGTGTTTTTTGTGAGGAGATTATGGGTATATGAGTGGCCTTTGGACTAAGACTCTCCTGGCAGCCTAAAGAAACACACAGAAATCCAGGTCATGTCTTCAAGCAGCAGAGCAGAGTTTGTGAGAAAAGGAAGGTGGATTTAAAGTTTATTCATAGGCCTGTAAAGAACTTGGGAGATGGAAGCTTTTATTCTCTGGCTTTCAGGGAAGGTCTAAATTCTTACCATCTTATTCAATAAATCATGTTTACTTAGATATTGCATTTTAATATTTAGGTGTCTAAGATATGTTCAAATCAGTATATTCCAAAATGAGAAAAATAATCACTTGTTATATTCTGTTTTGTAGTCCATTTGGGCTTCTATACAAAATGCAAACTACAAAATAGACTGGATGGCTTATAAACCGTATAGAAATTAATTTCTTCTGTTAGTGGGAATATGAATTAGTTCAACCATCGTGGAAGGCAGTGTGGTGATTCCTCAGTTACCTAGAGACAGAAATATCATTTGACCCAGCAATTCCATTACTGGGCATATACCCAAAGGAATATAAATCATTCCGTTATAAAGACACAGGCATGCATAGGTTAATTGCAGCACTATTCACAATACCAAAGACATGGAACCAACTGAAATGCCCATCAACAATAGACTGGATAAGGAAAATGTGGCACACATATACCATGGAATACTATGCAGCCATAAAAAAGAATGAGATCATGTCCTTTGCAGGGACATGGATGGAGCTGGAGGCCATTATCATTAGCAAACTAATTCAGGAACATAAATCCAAATACCACATATACTCACTTATAAGAGGGAACTAAATGATGAGACATATGGACACATAAAGGGGAACACTGGGGCCTGCTAGAGGGTAGAGGGAGGGAGGAGGGAGAGGATCAGAAAAAATAACTAATGGATACTAGGCTTAAGACCTGGGTGATGAAATAATCTGTACAATGAATCCCCATGACACACATTTACCTATGTAATAAACCTGCACATCCTGCACATGTAACTCTGAACTTCAAATAAAGTTAAAAAAAAAAGAAATGAATTAATCGAAATTCTGAAAGTTGGGAAGTCCAAGATTAGCATGCCAGTGTGATCGGATTCTGGTAAGGGCCCTCTTCTGGGTTGCAGACAATCAACTTCTCACTGTGTCCTCACAATGGAGGAAGGGGGCTTGCTAGATCCCTGGGGTCTTTTTTATAAGGGAACTAATTTCATTTGTGAGGGCTTCACATCCTAATCACCTCCTGAAAGCCCCACCTTCTAATACGATCACCTTGGGAGTTAGGATATCAACATATGTATTTTGGGAATCACACAAACATTCAAATCATAGAATGTTGTGTCCCAGTTTGGGGTTCAGAAAATTGAGTACATGTGTAGGCATTCAAGGATGTCACCATGATACAAATGATATGAGGGCCCTTCACACTGTGTTATACACAGCGGTCAGCACACACATGTTGGTAAAGTGTGGCACACCTATCATCTCATGTGATCTTCACAGCAATCTTGTTAGCCAGGGACTATTACTATCCCCATTTTATGCATGAATAAGATAAGCCCTTTATGTGTTTGGTTTATGCATGAACTTCACAATGACTCAGAAGCGAGTATTCATTCTGGTTCCGCTGTTTAACAGTTGTGTTACCTAAAATGTCCTAGTTCCTAAGAGTTTTATTTTTCTGTTATTCATTATATAAGAAACCAAGAAAAGAAGGGTGGGAGAAGGAAAAGGAATCTAGCACTGTGCTTGGTACAAATTTGGTGTTTCATGCATGCTTGTTGACCAAAACGTTGAGTCAGAATTTTTGTGCTGTTTAGTCATTCTTGGGAGCTGTTATCATAAAGTCTACTAGGCAATAAAATGTGTGAAATTTCTACAGAAGCAGCAGGAGTTTTCCAAAATAGTTGAGGTAGACTTTAAAGTGAATTTTAAACTAAGTCATTTCTTTCCCATCAAGTTCCTTCTATTGTGTAATCTGGTAATATTATGACATTCCTACCTCTGATCTCACTAAAGGGCTGTATTTATAGACTATTTTATAAATTCCTATGACTCACCCCATAAAGTCTGTCATGATCTGGAACTTTAAAAAATGAGAAAAATATCTCTGCCTTTGTTAGAGTTATGGGAGTTAAATAACACACATTTTTTTAAAGTTTTCTGCCATTTATAAATTCCCAAGGAAGAGCATTCTTCACTACTTTCTAAATAGGGAAGTTTATTAATATATCATTTAATGGGAGATGAAGATGACGATGATGATGATGAGCCTATTTTTAGTACATACTTAGTGCCAGAGATTGATTTAAGCTTTGTTTTTAGTCTTCACAACTGTTCCTGGGATATAAATAATTCCTATTTCACCAGCAAATAAATTGAAGCTCAGTGAATTTACTAATTATCCTAGAAACAGCAATACATAAGTAATAGAGATATAATTTGCTCTAAATTTGAGTTCTGCATGATGCATATTTGAATAAAGGATTCACAAACAACAACATTTTTTAAATGCCAACTTCCAAATACCCCGTTTTTGCTCCCCATGCTTCTTTGGGGCTAGAAATTCTAGGCAATTACTGGACAGCAACCAAATAGCCATGGAATGTGTTTCTGATTTGGGATTCATGAGTATCAGTGATCAGACTGATTCTTGTTTACTGTGGCCTCTGGGAAATTGGTTGACGCATGGATGTGTGAAATATCAGCAGTGAGATAATAAAATTACTAGAACCAGAAATGCCTGCAAAGTTATTTATGAATATAATGCAGAAAGTGATAATTAATCCTCTGGACATTTTTTAGCTTTTTTAAGAGTCAGAGTACACATGATATCTGAAGCAAAACACATGTCTGTTTAGTTATTTTACAGTTAAACTTGGAATATCATTGGTTGAATCAGCCATCATTATTCCCCAGGAAAATGGCTTTTGGTCTTCTTTCCATAATACAATACATTGAAACACTTTGCAATAAACACATCCTCATGTTCAGGATTTTGTTGAGAGCAATGTTAACTTACCTGTCTCTCAGTTCTTAAATTCTCTCTGAATTTCTTCAATTATCCTGGGGATTGGGGATGGGAGTGATTTGTAAATGCCTAGTGTACAGGTAAAAGTCAGTGTCTTAGTTTTTATTTGTAGTGAAGTCATTACTAAATGGGCAGTTATTATTTCATTTCATAATATATTTTTTCAAATGATTTCTCAATAAACAATTGAGAAATTAAGTCATTTTAACTATTATTCCAAATATTTTAATTATGCTTATCTTTGGTGGGCAGGATTTAACAAGAAGTTCTTTTTACAATGACTTTTGAATCTAGTATAAATGATATGCATACCTTCTCTAATGAAAAAGAAATAGCTAAAATGAGAAGGAAAAATCCATTAATATATCTATCTATACCTATCTAGCTATCTAACTAGTAACTTGCTGTATAGTTATTTATCTAGCTATCTTCATAGGTAGGTATAGGTACAAATTGGTAGATGCATATTCATATACATACATACATAATGTTTTCAATGAACTCTACTAAAATATTAACAGTGCAAAATTATAGTGGGAGGATTATGGAGAATTTATTTTTTTATAATGGCATAGTCTTATTCTTTGTCATATAATAAGTATCTATCAAGAACATGTATAAGAAATGCGCTCAGTACTAACTGGCATGGACCATGCTTCAGCTTTGAGTTTAATGAGTATCAATGAATAGAGAGATTTCATGTGCACTTCCTAAGCCATCACCTCAATCATGAAGGCCTTCTTCAGTCTTTCTTCCTGAAATGCAATTGCATATATCCTTCTTTGGGCATCCATCCTATCCTGTTTTAGTGCATCACTGCTTACTTACGGGCCAATAGTCCACCTTGTAGTCTTTAAAACTTAAAGATTATTGGGTCCAGCATTCCATAGCCAGGAAATGAATCTTGGTGTATAAAAAAGATATTAATAAATGTCGTGAGAATAATTTCTTTTCTTTGTCTTGATACTACCCTGATACTTAGTGGTCCTGAGAAGCAGTTTGCTCTAGACACCACACATCTCACGTATTTTCTTATCTGAACGAGTTTGCTTGATAAAAGAACTACTAATATGTCCCTTTGAAATTCTTAATTTAGTAGACTGTAGTGTTTAAATATGTTAAAATATCGATTCTAACTTTTAAAAAACATTAACTATAGAATAAAAAACTTTTTAAAAACAACCATAAAATCAACAACTATCCAATTTCTATGGACTGAGACTAATAGAAAACCTAAATACACACTTTACTTAAAAAGGAAATAAAACAAAACAAACGACCACCACCAACAACAAAATGAAATCCCATAAATGCAGTACAGTCAAATGAAAGTTTAACAAAATACATGTTTTATTTGAATGGACATACGTAACATGCTGCCTAGTGCCATCTTGCTTTGGGCTTGAATTCATTGTTTTATATGATATTTTGTGGCAACTGCTAATTATCATAAGCTGTCCAATAAATGTGATGGATTGTCCAATTAACTCTTCATCAGCATCCATTTTTGAAGATGCTGTCTATTGAAACTGATGGCAGTTTATGAACTACATGTTGCATATGTAGCTAATTGCTCCTTGGACAATAATTACTAAGTTTCTCGTGCCTCATTCAGTCATTTTTGTTTTATAAATTATGATGCCACTGAGTTTCCCAATTCATTTGATTTCACAAATATGGCTCTCCAAGGATTACTAAAGGTCTGCTGTGGAATGTATGGATCATATAAACATTGAAGTAGATTACAGATGTGTCTGTTTTGTAGGTTTTCCATCGACCGGCACACTGACCTGGAGAGGCAGTTCAACATTAATGCAGACGATGGGAAGATAACGCTGGCAACACCACTTGACAGAGAATTAAGTGTATGGCACAACATAACAATCATTGCTACTGAAATTAGTAAGTGCCTGGATTTGTTCATTTCTTCCTTGTGTGACTGAGTTCAATTTATGCTTATTAATAACGTGATAAGCAGCCCCTGTTTCTGTTAGGTACCTTGACATTGGAACTTATTTGATTGTTCCCAAGGAGCCTTTGAATGTATCATCTCAACACAAAATAACTTACACTGTGGTAAATTACTGAAATGTTTCAGGATATGTGAGAAGGAAACATTCTTATATCCATTATTCAGCCATTAAAAACAATGCTTTGCATTTTAAAGTAAGAGGAAAAGATTTAGTATAAAACAGTAGGTTAAAAAAATTCAAGAACTGTACACTATAATTTAAATAATTGGACACACATATACATATAGTATGGTACATACAATATAGAAACACATATTTAAATCATACACATGCATACATACATGTGGAAAATATAGATGGAAGCTTTATCAATATGTATTATTTTGGGTAGGAGAGATTATAGATAATTTTTTGTTTTTTTTAGAGTCTAATGTATTTTACACAGTAATCATAGGCTGTTTAAAATTATATCAATATCAATTCAATGTAATTTTTTTCATACATTTTGTGAAAACATTTGAGCTATTTTATTATGGGGGAGGAGAGTCTAGGGTTGTTAAAATAACTTGTTAATCTTTTTATTGACTTTTTTTTCTTCTTTGCACTTGATAAAACTATAATGGAGTCTCTAAACAATAGCTATATGGTGAAATTTGGTGCCAAACTGTCTTTAAGAGCTTACATCTACTTTATCAACTTTTATTATACAAAAAATGGAAAAGGGAGAGGATGTCCATTTTATTTCCTAGCAAAAAACATGTTGCTTATTATCTGAATAGCTTCTTTCTATAAAGGACTTTGAAGTTGTGCACAAATTCAAAGGAGACAATAAATTCCAAGAGAGTTGAGGTAAAGGGAATTTGAATAAGAAATAAAAATCAATGTTAAGAAAGATTCATGGGCACACATACCATATAGAGAAATATAGATGATAATTATAGGAAATATGCCCTAAAATTCACTCACTGTCTGGCAGCTAATGTGAAAACAGGGGAAATATCTCTGTGAAAAATGATTACTTTGTTTGTATTTAAAAAAGAGTAATCCAGGTGTTCAGGAGAAACAATGTTTTTTCTGGTTTTGTGATGTGAGGAAAATGTCCTCTACCAAGCCTTATAAAAAGAACGCTTGTGTGAAAGAGTGAAGATTCAAGAGTGAAGAATGTTTGTTTCTTTTTTTTTTTTTTATTATACTTTAAGTTTTAGGGTACATGTGCACATTGTGCAGGTTAGTTACATATGTATACATGTGCCATGCTGGTGCGCTACACCCACTAACTCGTCATCTAGCATTAGGTATATCTTCCAATGCTATCCCTCCCCCCGCCCCCCCCACCACAGTCCCCAGAGTGTGATATTCCCCTTCCTGTGTCCATGTGATCTCATTGTTCAATTCCCACCTATGAGTGAGAATATGCCGTGTTTGGTTTTTTGTTCTTGCGATAGTTTACTGAGAATGATGATTTCCAATTTCATCCATGTCCCTACAAAGGACATGAAGTCATCATTTTTTATGGCTGCATAGTATTCCATGATGTATATGTGCCACATTTTCTTAATCCAGTCTATCATTGTTGGACATTTGGGTTGGTTCCAAGTCTTTGCTATTGTGAATAATGCCGCAATAAACATACGTGTGCATGTGTCTTTATAGCAGCATGATTTATAGTCCTTTGGGTATATACCCAGTAATGGGATGGCTGGGTCAAATGGTATTTCTAGTTCTAGATCCCTGAGGAATCGCCACACTGACTTCCACAATGGTTGAACTAGTTTCCAGTCCCACCAACAGTGTAAAAGTGTTCCTATTTCTCCACATCCTCTCCAGCACCTGTTGTTTCCTGACTTTTTAATGATTGCCATTCTAACTGGTATGAGATGGTATCTCATAGTGGTTTTGATTTGCATTTCTCTGATGGCTAGTGATGATGAGCATTTTTTCATGTGTTTTTTGGCTGCATAAATGTCTTCTTTTGAGAAGTGTCTGTTCATGTCCTTTGCCCACTTTTTGATGGGGTTGTTTGTTTTTTTCTTGTAAATTTGTTTGAGTTCATTGTAGATTCCGGATATTAGCCCTTTGTCAGATGAGTAGGTTGCGAAAATTTTCTCCCAGTTTGTAGGCTGCCTGTTCACTCTGATGGTAGTTTCTTTTGCTGTGCAGAAGCTCTTTAGTTTAATTAGATCCCATTTGTCAATTTTGGCTTTTGTTGCCATTGCTTTTGGTGTTTTGGACATGAAGTCCTTGCCCATGCCTATGTCCTGAATGGTAGTGCCTAGGTTTTCTTCTAGGGTTTTTATGGTTTTAGGTCTAACGTTTAAATCTTTAATCCATCTTGAATTGATTTTTGTATAAGGTGTAAGGAAGGGATCCAGTTTCAGCTTTCTACATATGGCTAGCCAGTTTTCCCAGCACCATTTATTAAATAGGGAATCCTTTCCCCATTGCTTGTTTTTCTCAGGTTTGTCAAAGATCAGATAGTTGTAGGTAGGCGGCGTTATTTCTGAGGGCTCTGTTCTGTTGCATTGATCTATATCTCTGTTTTGGTACCAGTACCATGCTGTTTTGGTTACTGTAGCCTTGTAGTATAGTTTGAAGTCAGGTAGTGTGATGCCTCCAGCTTTGTTCTTTTGGCTTAGGATTGACTTGGCGATGCGGGCTCTTTTTTGGTTCCATATGAACTTTAAAGTAGTTTTTTCCAATTCTGTGAGGAAAGTCATTGGTAGCTTGATGGGGATGGCATTGAATCTGTAAATTACCTTGGGCAGTATGGCCATTTTCACGATATTGATTCTTCCTACCCATGAGCATGGAATGTTCTTCCATTTGTTTGTATCCTCTTTTATTTCCTTGAGCAGTGGTTTGTAGTTCTCCTTGAAGAGGTCCTTCACATCCCTTGTAAGTTGGATTCCTAGGTATTTTATTCTCTTTGAAGCAATTGTGAATGGGAGTTCACTCATGATTTGGCTCTCTGTTTGTCTGTTGTTGGTATATAAGAATGCTTGTGATTTTTGTACATTGATTTTGTATCCTGAGACTTTGCTGAAGTTGCTTATCAGCTTAAGGAGATTTTGGGCTGAGACAATGGGGTTTTCTAGATATACAATCATGTCATCTGCAAACAGGGACAATTTGACTTCCTCTTTTCCTAATTGAATACCCTTTATTTCCTTCTCCTGCCTAATTGCCCTGGCCAGAACTTCCAACACTATGTTGAATAGGAGTGGTGAGAGAGGGCATCCCTGTCTTGTGCCAGTTTTCAAAGGGAATGCTTCCAGTTTTTGCCCATTCAGTATGATATTGGCTGTGGGTTTGTCATAGATAGCTCTTATTATTTTGAAATACGTCCCATCAATACCTAATTTATTGAGAGTTTTTAGCATGAAGGGTTGTTGAATTTTGTCAAAGGCTTTTTCTGCGTCTATTGAGATAATCATGTGGTTTTTGTCTTTGGCTCTGTTTATATGCTGGATTACATTTATTGATTTGCGTATATTGAACCAGCCTTGCATCCCAGGGATGAAGCCCACTTGATCATGGTGGATAAGCTTTTTGATGTGCTGCTGGATTCGTTTTGCCAGTATTTTATTGAGGATTTTTGCATCAATGTTCATCAAGGATATTGGTCTAAAATTCTCTTTTTTGGTTGTGTCTCTGCCCGGCTTTGGTATCAGAATGATGCTGGCCTCATAAAATGAGTTAGGGAGGATTCCCTCTTTTTCTATTGATTGGAATAGTTTCAGAAGGAATGGTACCAGTTCCTCCTTGTACCTCTGGTAGAATTCGGCTGTGAATCCATCTGGTCCTGGACTCTTTTTGGTTGGTAAACTATCGATTATTGCCACAATTTCAGCTCCTTTTATTGGTCTATTCAGAGATTCAACTTCTTCCTGGTTTAGTCTTGGGAGAGTGTATGTGTCGAGGAATGTATCCATTTCTTCTAGATTTTCTAGTTTATTTGCGTAGAGGTGTTTGTAGTATTCTCTGATGGTAGTTTGTATTTCTGTGGGATCGGTGGTGATATCCCCTTTATCATTTTTTATTGTGTCTATTTGATTCTTCTCTCTTTTTTTCTTTATTAGTCTTGCTAGTGGTCTATCAATTTTGTTGATCCTTTCAAAAAACCAGCTCCTGGATTCATTGAGTTTTTGAAGGGTTTTTTGTGTCTCTATTTCCTTCAGTTCTGCTCTGATTTTAGTTATTTCTTGCCTTCTGCTAGCTTTTGAATGTGTTTGCTCTTGCTTTTCTAGTTCTTTTAATTGTGATGTTAGGGTGTGAATTT
This sequence comes from Homo sapiens, assembly GCF_000001405.40. Lineage (NCBI taxonomy): Eukaryota > Metazoa > Chordata > Mammalia > Primates > Hominidae > Homo > Homo sapiens. The sequence goes on along the minus strand of NC_000016.10, from coordinate 61,784,995 downwards.
TGGATCTTTCCTGCTTTCTCTTGTGGGCATTTAGTGCTATAAATTTCCCTCTACACACTGCTTTGAATGCGTCCCAGAGATTCTGGTATGTTGTGTCTTTGTTCTAGTTGGTTTTAAAGAACATCTTTATTTCTGCCTTTATTTCATTATGTACCCAGTAGTCATTCAGGAGCAGGTTGTTCAGTTTCCATGTAGTTGAGCAGCTTTGAGTGAGATTCTTAATCCTGAGTTCTAGTTTGATTGCACTGTGGTCTGAGAGACAGTTTGTTATAATTTCTGTTCTTTTACATTTGCTGAGGAGAGCTTTACTTCCAACTATGTGGTCAATTTTGGAATAGGTGTGGTGTGGTGCTGAAAAAAATGTATATTCTGTTGATTTGGGGTGGAGAGTTCTGTAGATGTCTATTAGGTCTGCTTGGTGCAGAGCTGAGTTCAATTCCTGGGTATCCTTGTTGACTTTCTGTCTCATTGATCTGTCTAATGTTGACAGTGGGGTGTTAAAGTCTCCCATTATTAATGTGTGGGAGTCTAAGTCTCTTTGTAGGTCACTCAGGACTTGCTTCATGAATCTTGGTGCTCCTGTATTGGGTGCATATATATTTAGGATAGTTAGCTCTTCTTGTTGAATTGATCCCTTTACCATTATGTAATGGCCTTCTTTGTCTCTTTTGATCTTTGTTGGTTTAAAGTCTGTTTTATCAGATACTAGGATTGCAACCCCTGCCTTTTTTTGTTTTCCATTTGCTTGGTAGATCTTCCTCCATCCTTTTATTTTGAACCTATGTGTGTCTCTGCACGTGAGATGGGTTTCCTGAATACAGCACACTGATGGGTCTTGACTCTTTATCCAATTTGCCAGTCTGTGTCTTTTAATTGGAGAATTTAGTCCATTTACATTTAAAGTTAATATTGTTATGTGTGAATTTGATCCTGTCATTATGATGTTAGCTGGTGATTTTGCTCGTTAGTTGATGCAGTTTCTTCCTAGCCTCGATGGTCTTTACATTTTGGCATGATTTTGCAGCAGCTGGTACCGGTTGTTCCTTTCCATGTTTAGCGCTTCCTTCAGGAGCTCTTATAGGGCAGTCCTGGTGGTGACAAAATCTGTCAGCATTTGCTTGTCTGTAAAGTATTTTATTTCTCCTTCACTTATGAAGCTTAGTTTGGCTGGACATGAAATTCTGGGTTGAAAATTCTTTTCTTTAAGAATGTTGAATATTGGCCCCACTCTCTTCTGGCTTGTAGGGTTTCTGCCGAGAGATCCGCTGTTAGTCTGATGGGCTTCCCTTTGAGGGTAACCCGACCTTTCTCTCTGGCTGCCCTTAACATTTTTTCCTTCATTTCAACTTTGGTGAATCTGACAATTATGTGTCTTGGAGTTGCTCTTCTTGAGGAGTATCTTTGTGGCGTTCTCTGTATTTCCTGAATCTGAACGTTGGCCTGCCTTGCTAGATTGCGGAAGTTCTCCTGGATAATATCCTGCAGAGTGTTTTCCAACTTGGTTCCATTCTCCCCATCACTTTCAGGTACACCAATGAGATGTAGATTTGGTCTTTTCACATAGTCCCATATTTCTTGGAGGCTTTGCTCATTTCTTTTTATTCTTTTTTCTCTAACCTTCCCTTCTCGCTTCATTTCATTCATTTCATCTTCCATTGCTGATACCCTTTCTTCCAGTTGATCGCATCGGCTCCTGAGGCTTCTGCATTCTTCACGTAGTTCTCGAGCCTTGGTTTTCAGCTCCATCAGCTCCTTTAAGCACTTCTCTGTATTGGTTATTCTAGTTATACATTCTTCTAAATTTTTTTCAAAGTTTTCAACTTCTTTGCCTTTGGTTTGAATGTCCTCCCGTAGCTCAGAGTAATTTGATCGTCTGAAGCCTTCTTCTCTCAGCTCGTCAAAGTCATTCTCCATCCAGCTTTGTTCCATTGCTGGTGAGGAACTGCGTTCCTTTGGAGGAGGAGAGGCGCTCTGCGTTTTAGAGTTTCCAGTTTTTCTGTTCTGTTTTTTCCCCATCTTTGTGGTTTTATCTACTTTTGGTCTTTGATGATGGTGATGTACAGATAGGTTTTCGGTGTGGATGTCCTTTCTGTTTGTTAGTTTTCCTTCTAACACAGGACCCTCAGCTGCAGGTCTGTTGGAATACCCTGCCATGTGAGGTGTCAGTGTGCCCCTGCTGGGGGGTGCCTCCCAGTTAGGCTGCTCAGGGGTCAGGGGTCAGGGACCCACTTGAGGAGGCAGTCTGCCCGTTCTCAGATCTCCAGCTGCATGCTGGGAGACCCACTGCTCTCTTCAAAGCTGTCAGACAGGGACATTTAAGTCTGCAGAGGTTACTGCTGTCTTTTTGTTTGTCTGTGCCCTGCCCCCAGAGGTGGAGCCTACAGAGGCAGGCAGGCCTCCTTGAGCTGTGGTGGGCTCCACCCAGTTCGAGCTTCCTGGCTGCTTTGTTTACCTAAGCAAGCCTGGGCAATGGCGGGCGCCCCTCCCCCAGCCTCGCTGCTGCCTTGCAGTTTGATCTCAGACTGCTGTGCTAGCAATCAGCGAGACTCCGTGGGCGTAGGACCCTCCGAGCCAGGTGTGGGATATAGTCTCGTGGTGCGCCGTTTTTTAAGCCGGTCTGAAAAGCGCAATATTCGGGTTGGAGTGACCCGATTTTCCAGGTGCGTCCGTCACCCCTTTCTTTGACTCGGAAAGGGAACTCCCTGACCCCTTGTGCTTCCCAGGTGAGGCAATGCCTCGCCCTGCTTCGGCTCGCGGACGGTGCGCGCACCCACTGGCCTGCGCCCACTGTCTGGCACTCCCTAGTGAGATGAACCCGGTACCTCAGATGGAAATGCAGAAATCACCCGTCTTCTGCGTCGCTCACGCTGGGAGCTGTAGACCGGAGCTGTTCCTATTCGGCCATCTTGGCTCCTCCGAATGTTTGTTTCTTATAGCAGCCTTGAGTGCAGGCAGAGAACATGCAGTCAAGTTGATATGTAGTTTCAACACTGCCAAACTCTGGCTCTGGATAGAAACAGAGCTTTGGAAACTTTGCTGTTTCCCCTGCCTTAGGAGTACTATTTTCTTCCCTAGTGTCTTACCATCACGGCAGTTTCTCCTTGTAACATGAAGAGAAGAAGCAAATAAAGCATGCCATTTGGTGATTTTGGTTTGTTAGAAGTGTTAACCTCATTTAGAAAGATGTAAACATAATTTTTTTAGTAATTTACCATGTTGAAGCCTGATTATCACCTTAAGCCTCTCAGAAAAGTTGTATCTATTTAGATGACTTAAGGCTTTATAAAAAGCTCAAAAAAATCCAGTCTTCTTTAATGTGGATAGTCAATAATTATAAAGAATTTTCACATATACTGAAAACAATCTAGTAGAGTTAAACTTAATTCATGTTACCTTTGAGATAGATCTCTCTCTTTTGCCCAGGCACTATATCATAGCTCACTCCACCCTGGGCTCAAGTGATCCTCCTGCTTTAGACTCCCTAGCATCTGGGCCTACAGGCACAAGCCATCATGCCTGGCTAATTGTAGTTTTTTTTGTTTTTGTTTTTGGTTTTGGTTTTTTTTTTAGAAACAGGGTCTCACCATGTTGCCCAGGCTAGTCTTTAACTCCTCACCTCCACTGATCCTCCTGCTGGGATTACAAACAGGATCCACAACCAAGGCCCATGCCACCTTTTTAAAATAAGATAGACTCCTTTACTTAAATATCCATCAAGGTTTATGAGTTATCAGCAAAATGTACTCAAAGCAATGAATACACAGAGCTTGGCTTAAGAAACATTTCAGGACAATCCAGAAACAAAAGACTCATTTTTGAGAAATCCCACACAAGTAAGAAAAACAGATACAAAAATAGATGCTCCAGGGCATTGAGCTGTTAGCTGCAGGGTGACAAGGCTACCAAGCTCAGTCAGGGAAGATGTTCATGCACAGGTGCATTTTGGCCAAGAAACAAGCTGAATTCATGTCAAACATCTTAAGAAATATTAGACTGCAAACTTAAAAATCTGTCTTTGTTTGAATTTTTGCAGATTTCTTTCTTAGAACAAACAAGGATGAGAATACAAAAGAGAGCTTTAAATTTTAGTTGTAAAATACTAGCTGGGGTGGCATAAATTTGAGAACTTTAAGTGTACAATTAAACCATCTATTTTCTTAATCATAAAGGGAAGTGGAAATCATAAGATCACAGAGAAATTAAAAAAATTGAAATTACTATGAACATAGCTTAGAAACTTGTTTTGACTTGATTTGATTATTTAGCCCATCACATGATGTTTATTTTCCAAAGCCACAGACCATGTCTTGGGGAAAAAAATTAAAAGGAGATTTATAGAATTTGTCTGAGATGAATATTTAAAACCATTCAGAATAGCAGAACCCCATAGGGGGAGGTTCTAATAATGATAAAGAAATAGTCATTCCAGGGAGAACAATTTAAAATGACTCTCAGAATGCTATCTCATCAGATAAAAGATTTAAACAAATGAAATTAGGCTAAAAAGTGGATTTTAGCAAAGTCCATCTGTTATCTCTTAATGAGAATGGAGATGTCATTCTTTATCCTCTTGTGTCAGATTCACTTAACCGAGGCTGAGATGCTTCACTGTGTTTATTACCCAAGTATTTCAGTGGTAGTGGATCTAACATGTTATCCTGATCAACTGGCACATCTTATCACATGAGCTGGCAGGCAGATGTCCATGTGCTAACAAGAGATTAGGCTTGTATAGTATATCTCTGCTAGTAGCAACCCCATTCCCTGAAACTACAGTGCATGGCTGCTATTTACCATGATGATGAAGATTTAAGGTAAATTTAGCTGAATAATGAAAACAATGAGAAAATAAACTGAAAAAAGCCCTTCGATGCTTTTAATTCTCATAACATTTGCTGAAAAGTGACTACTATTATTATAAGCATTTTCCAGGCAAAGAAACTCAGATACAGGTTAAGTAACTTGTCAAAATTTCACAGAGGGCAAGGATGAGAGTGGAGGTACAGGATCAGATCTTTGTTTAACTGCAGAATATATGTCCTTAAACACCTTCCACAGAAACCTCACTTCAATCTTCTTTCCTCTTTATCTTCTTGCTCAATTTGAGCTTCTGATACTGCTACATCATTTCTTGAATCAAGTGAACGAAACGGTTTTTCTGTGCAAAGGAGAAGGCTAGGGCAAGGACAAGGGTGAGGTGAAGGAATGAAAAAGCATGCATTTTATTATGGAGAGTAAGAATATTGCCTAATAAACATAGCAGAACTTTGGAACTTTTAAAACCAGAATCCTAATCCCATTTTATAGATTAGGAAACTGAAGAACATAGAATAGAGAACACAGCATAGTACATTTTAGAAGGCTGTTTTTCAAAGCAGACCATTGATTAGAATTGCCTAGAAAATTGTCTAAAACAAACAAACAAGGAATAGTCCAGATTTCGTTTGAGACCTATTGAATTAGAATCTCAAGGGAGAGTTTCAGGAATTTACTTCTCACAACTTCTTCCTTGTTTCCCTCACCATGCGCGCACACACACACACACACACACACACACACACACACACACATAAACGAACATTAAAATTTGACAATACTGCAAAGGGAGGCAAAGAAAGATGAGGCATTGTTGGTTTGTTTGTTCTTTTTTTTAAAATTTTCCCATGCTGATTATAGCCATAGGACAGTAAAGAATACTGAGAATGTGGGAATCAATTTGCTTAGAATAGAGTCTCTGCAGGGGCATTTTAGATGCACTGAATGCTCATTTTAAAATGTCCTTCACAGAGAACGTGATGGTGTGGAATAGAAAGTTTCAAAACTCTCTGACACTCTGTACCTGGGAGCAGACAATTGGCATGGCATTTGTAGAAAGTACATGACTATTGGTTACCTGAAAGTATTTCAAAGCAGGAAGCATATAATTGCCCGTTAAATTAATCTCTCTGAGTTAGTGATAATGCATTGCTCTGGCCCACTACAGCGGGCTGCACACATTATTGCAAATGAAGCTTTTCGCTAATGATGGCTAAATCTCCCAGGGAAAACACTAGTTTTATTGCACTTAAGGATTGTTTTTTCCTAGCATGGGGCCCAGTTGCCAGAATAATTGCTTTGTCCAACCCAGGCTACTTAGAAAAAAATATACCTTTATAGGCAGTTCATTGTTTAGAGGAATCTTGGGTTCTGGAGTTGGATGGAGTTGGAGTCCTTGCCACATTTTGGTCATATAACCTTGGGTACATTATTTCTCTTTTACTCTCAGTTTCCTCGTCTGTGAACGGAAATGATTACTCTTTAAACTTGTGGGTATAGTGAGAATGGAAATAAAAATGATAGTACTACGTCTTTTAGCAAGTAATTTACCTACAATCTTAAGAAAATGATGGAGACATAGTGTATGTTCTTCTAGTTAATAGGGCCCTTAATGGGGGCTTTGAATCACAGCTTCATTTAAAATTATTTATTTAATTTTTTGTCTGTTACCCTGCCCCTTCCCACAACAAAATATTTGGTAATTATGGCCTGTGTGTTACTTCTAGGTGCAGTTATGTTTCTGCATTGCATAGCCAATATGTTTGTTCATTGACCTTCTTCTTGCCCTTGGTTGAGGCATGGTAGATTGATCAATGGCTAAGCAACGGCCCTCATAATGAAGCAGGCACATGCTTACTAAAGACTTTAGATTTTATATCAAGATTGTGCTTCATATATATCCATCTGTCTCTATTGCCTATGACATAGAGCGAGAGCACCATAAAGATTGATAGCTATTCCCTTGTGCAGGGTGAAGGGGAGATAGTGGGAGAGAAGCTATTATTGAGTTAGATAACACCCATGGAAGAGAAGAGATGATAAGAGCCTAAAGTGGGCAGTGAAATTCAGGTACAGAGGTGGTTAAGAGGCTCCCCAAAATCACACAGGTTGCAGCAGTAAGACTGATAAGCCTGTCTGGGAATATAGTCATGTGGCAAGTTCCTATCTAGATCCCCCACTTTAGATAGGCATGCAGGTTCTCAAAGCTGGAGATCAATGTTCTTAGCAAAGAGAAATACAGTGAAGGAAAGTGAAAACTAAAATATGGAAAGTTAAAGGGAAGCTACAGATTCCTGGGGAGGGAATCAGCATCCAAAGCATGATTTCCTACAGGGAAGAATTGGGGTCCATGTCCTTCCAAGTCCAAGGAGATAAGTGATGCAGGCACAAAATGGATGTAATTCTGCGCATAGCCCATGTCAGTTTTATTCTAATCCTTGTGACTCTCTGGCTACCCCTGCAACGTAGGTAGCAGTAGATTTGACTTGGGAATTCCTCCCTGATTTTTACTTTGTTCTGCAACCATTCTACTAATTTTCTCCCACCACCTCTTCCTTTCATCTTTCCTGCCCTTGTTCCTTCCAGTCTAAGAAAGAACACGTGGATTGAGAATGGAGGAATAGATTTTAGCCAGGCATTCCTTTAGGATGTCAGTGTGATTAATAGCCTCCCAGTCCTAAGCTCAAAAATAAGAGTAGATAAGACGCACCTATACCTACATCTTGCCCTTGTCACTCTTTATAAACCACCCTCTCCAAAGCTGTAACAATAACTCTTACTGTAGACAACTATAGATAAAATATAGAAAGAAGGTAAGCAGAAAACATGAATGCTAGCTTTTCAGGTGCGAGTTGCTGCTAACTGGTAGCTCATAGCAAATGGTTATCTCCAGGTTTGTAGTACCATATTAAAGGAAGTAAGGAAGACCCTAGATATCTGAACAGATTTTAAAGGTAGGATAGTATTGGGTTGATTTACCCCTCAGGCTTTGGTTTTCTTTAGGGATGGAGAAGTCATTAGGACTGGGAGGAGAAAATAAAGTTATCAGTCCAGCAGTTGAAGGGAATAAGATAGTGGTTAAGTATCCAGGCTCATAAATCTGTTTGCTAGGTTGGAATCATTGCTTTTTCATTTATCCATGCTCACTCTTTTGTTAAGTTACTCAATTTCTCTCTGTGGTGGCTTAGTTTTGCTATCTATAAAATTGGTAATGTGTTTAAATTTTTATTTTAAGTTCAGGGGTGCATGTGCAGGTTTGTAACTTAAGTAAGCTTGTGTCCTGGGGGTTTGGTGTACAGATTATTTCATCATTGAAGTATTAAGCCTAGTACAATGGGGAATGTGTTGGTGCACCTTTAGAGATGTGTGATGAAGAATAAATATATTTAAGAGCTATAATCTTGCCTAACTTAAGGTAAACTTGATAATAATGTCAATGCTAATATCAATTTTATAGTATTAATCATAATATAAACTCAATTCTATCATTATTGTATAATTAAAAAGAATTTGCCAAAAAGTGACCATGTTTGTCATCAAGCAAAACTACCCAACCTAATCCAGAGAATCTCTCAAATTGTTTGTTCAGGAACATATCACTTTGGGATTATTTGAGGGACATAATTTTCCTTGATTATATATATTAATAGGAGCATCTTCTTTCCTCTGTCAGTCCCAAGTATCCCGGCCAGGTTGGCAACTTTAAAAGCTCCTTCTTCATCCAAAACCAAAGTCATAGGCAAGTTGTTCTAACAATTTTTTTTTATAACAATAGAGGTTATTAGTTAAGGACATAAGCTGTTGAGTTATAGTAGAGGTTATTAGTTAAGGACATAAGCTATGAAGTCAAATTGCCCCAGTGAAAACATTGGGTCTAACATATGTTAAATGTGTGACTTAAATAAGTTATGCAATCTCTTTAGGTCTCAACGGCTATATTTGAAGTTTGTTATGGGAGTTAAATGAGATAACACAGGTAAATTGCGTAAACAGAGCCTAACTTATGGTAAGGACTTGATAATATTCTTTGTATTTTCTCTTTCATCCCCCTGCCTTCCCTTTTCTATCCTCCTCTCTATCCTCTTCCAGATGAAACCTGGTGCTTGCCAACTCTTACATTCCCTATCATCTCAGTCCTATATCTAAAGGATTGTATTTGTCATTCATTTTCTTCCTTTATTCAAACCACTTGGGCTTAGAGAGAAAGAGGGCTGAAATAGTCATATGGAGATGTTAATATGTATTAATTCACTTTTGCTACATATTACATCATGACACAATTTGGTGACTTAACATAATGTTTTCTTCTGGTTCTGTGGAGCAGCTGGGCACTTCTTTTGGTTTGAACTGGTTTTGGTACTCTTTCTGGTCAGCTGATGGCTTATATGGGACCATATATATAAGCTGATGGCTTATATGGGCCAAGTCAATCTTGGCCTCACATGTATATATGGTGGGCCGTTTAGTCCGGGGTGCTTTAGCAGACACAGCTTGTCTCTCATCCTCTAGCAGGCTAGCTTAGCTTTTTAATTATGTTCTCAATGTTACAAGATGCAGCAAAGCAACAGGAAGCCCCGGTGAGCAAGCACTTTACAAGCCTTTATTTGCATCCAGTTTGATAATAGTTCATTGACCAAAACAAGCCACATGATCAAGAGTGGGTAGAAGGGCTAGAGAAGTGTCATCTCTTGATGAGAGGAGTTAGAAATAATATGGCCATATTTTTTCTTTTTAATAATATACTTCAGACGGGGATGCTGAATCTCAGTATGTAGGACTGAGGGATATTGATTTGTAGTTTCCACATAATTACTCTCCTGCCTTCTTTCCAGAATGTTCTTCTCAGGATAATGCATGCATATTCAAAATCCTTTGCTCCAATCCCTTATTTATCTGGCGAAAGGATTGGACATAATATTTCTCTTTTTATTACTTATTTTTTCTTCATTTTAATTTTATTGTTTATTTATTTCTTTAAAAATAAAGATGGGATCTCCCTATGTTGCTCAGGCCGGTCTCTAACTCCTGGCCTCAAGCAATTCACCTGCTTCGGCCTCCCAAAATGCTGGGGTTATAGGCATGGGCCAACACACTATCAGGACACAATATTTCTAACAGCCATCAATTGGTTAACTATAGATTCTTTATAATTTCATCTTAAATAGCGATTTGTATTAACTCATTTTATGTATTAATGCATTTTTAATGCTTAGAACAACTTCTGCTGCATACAAGCTACTGTAAGTGTTAGCACTTATTATTTATTATCTCCTGATACCCTGGTTGGATCTGGTTCCTTTGTTATAAGTCCTCACTTTGTTGTACGTGTTTATTTTCTTTTAAATAACTGTTCAAGGCTTATAACACATACGTATTTGGTTGAGCTTTTGAAAATAAATTCCTAAGGGCAGAAATAGTTAAGTTCCCTGTTCTCATGTAACATTTCATTATTGCTTTATCCTGTGGGCCTACCATAGTGCTTTGGGGCTCCTAATAAATATTGGTTAAATGACTGAATGAATGAAGAAAGGAAATAATGAATTAGTATAATGAGGGAGTACCCTGATGATTTCTAACTCCAAACAGACACTATTAATTGATTGGCAGGGAGGATCTTTTTTTAAATATACCCTAGACAGCTGTTTGTTAAAAATCCCATGCAGATAGGTACACATCCATTATGGCTTTCTGGATCTTTATGTCTTTTTTTTTTTTTTTTTTCCCTGAGTGATTGAAGCTGAGACAGAAAGGGCAGAAAGAACTGTGCTCTCCTTGTAGAAAAATTGTGGGGCACTGACTGTGTTCACAGGGAAGGATCCCCACAGAATATTAACCAATCTTGGGAGTTAGAGACCATGAGAAAGGTGCTGGCAGAGAGGAGCCTCGCGTCCCCTGTCTGTTTCCCTAAGGACTCTGGCTTCTGATCTTGGAACCTTGATTTTTCTTCCCTTCTGAGAGCCTGGAGGTAAGCCTTGAATAATGCCAGCCCACACTTCATTACCCAACAAGCCCGTTTATCAGTTGGTCTGATCTGTATTGAACAAGTGCAAGCAGGTTACAAAGCAGCAAAGCCAAAAGAATGAAAATGCAGCATGTTTTCTGATTCCAGGACTCCCTAATCCAAAGCTTAGAAACTGGGGCTAAAAATAGGCACCAATTCCATCCTTATCCACCCCTACCCAACTGGCATTTCAGTACTAGGTCAGGTATCCCCTTAGCCAGATGATGGACATTTAAATGATAACTTGGCTTCCATCTCATTTGGGCTGTCAGGGTGTCAGTTACTCCACTCACTTACTTGTAATGCTGATATTTTCTGGTCCCTAGAGCCTCTATAGGACAAGGACTCACCTCACATATCACCCAGATTCAAAGGTTATGCTATTTGTCACAAGAATAAGTTATGCCTGCTCCTTTTATGGCTGCCAATTCTATCCACCCTGGAATTCAAATTAGCTAAGAAAAAAGAAACTAATATCCTTTGAACAGCATCTTTGGGCCAGGCACTGTGTAGATCTCTTGAGAAGCTCTGTCTGTTTCAGCCGCACTGAAATCCTTGGAGGAATGATGAGAAACCATACTCAGAGATGTGGAACCACTGCCACAGGCCCACAAAGCCAAAACTCACAGAGCAATTCTTGCCAAAAACATAGTACTCCCATCTTCTCACATCTGTATTATTTCTCTAAAATTTTATAAACAATACACAAATACCAGTACAGATAGGATTCAGCTTATTTCTGTAACTTTTCCATTTGCACCAACTGTGCATTAAGAGGTGAGCACTTAAAAAACAAGACATGGCTCCTTTAAGCTTTGCAAAGTGGGGACAACAAACTAGAGACATGCATTTACAACTCTAGCAAATCATTCACACAAAAAAATCATGTATGTAGTGTGGAGTAGGGTGAGATTCTTCCACTACATGGGATAGACAGTGTTCTCTGTGAAGATTCTCTGTAGGAGTTTTCATCAGGATTGTGAAGTAGCAGTAAGAGATGCATTTAAAAATTAGAAAATGGCTTTATCAAGAGAAGAAAAACTTAGAATATCTTCTGAAGATGAGGGGAATCAGGAACGTGAAGTAGATATGGCTAGAAAGTTCAAGTAAAGCCTATTCAGTTAAGGATATTATGTTTGCCTTTGAGTGCCAGATCAAGGAAATAATCTCATTCTCCACATTAAAAGGGCCCATCAAATGCATTGAAATAGGAAAATATAGGGCCCAGAATATTAGCATTCAAATTCAGGAGCAGAATAGGTTATGAATGGAGTAGTGAGTCTATGACATAGAGAATAGGAAAGGAAGGTGTTTCTTAAATTTTTTGGTGCGTCAGAATCACCTGGAGGGCTTGTTAAAGCATAGCTTGCTGGCCAGGAATTTGTATTTCTAACAAGTTTCCATGTGAGGCTGATGCTGCAGGTCCAGGGACCATGCCTTGAGAACCATAGCTATAATCCCCGCAGTCTTAATTCAGACTAAAACTAAACCTGTATTAGAGATGGAGTTTGAATAAACAGAAATTGGCATCTGGTTAAAACTAATGAGAAAACAAGAAAAGCAAATTCTGCTGGAGATCACAAGCCTTGACAACAAGGACAAATATAATTACAATTAAAAGTGTCGCAGCTTACTGTGTGCTAGGCCGGTTTTTAACCCTTTCTGTATTCTTTGGCATGTTTAATTTTCACAATAACTGCATGTGTTAATGCCATCAGTTATTTCATCTAATAAAAATACCAGAGCTCAGCCTCATTGGATTTAATCCTAGCTTTGTCTCACTTTTCAGACTAATTTATGAACATTTTGCATCTCAATTCTCCTAGGGAAAACCCAATTGCTATTAAGACATACCGTGAGTGATACTAACAAATCAGATTACAGAAAAGATGGCCCAACCTTTCCACAGCCTTCCTTCATCCAGTTTGTAAAAGAGTTTTGAACACAATGAGATATTACTGGTAGGCTTTCATCCCCACTGAAGTAACTGCATGGAGTGGTTAGGTGGGGGAGGTCCAGATGAGAGTTAGGAATTTAACATTTGCATCTGTGATCTTTGTTCCAGAGGAATTTGGATATTTAGAAACCTCTGGGTTCTGAAATTTTAAAATAAAATAGAGTTTAAATGAGGAGCTGGTGTTGAAGTTTGAGTGCTCCTGCTGCCCACTCAAATAAGCCTGGAATGATGCTGAAGTCTGTTCCACACCTGTTGCCATAATTTAACAATGAATGAGTAACATTAGGCTGGAGAAGGGAGGTGTGGATGACAAGTATGGAGGAAAAAACTTGTACACTGCAGTCAAATAGATATGAATTTCAGTCTAGGTTTCCTTAAAAATTACCTGCTTGAAAGAAAAACTTTCCTCGACCTATATAATTTATTTCTTATTGGTTAAAAAGAAACTATAGTATTCAATAAAAAGCTGTAACTCACTTGAGTTGATGTACAGAATATATGTATGTGTGGGTGTGTGTACATATATATATCACTTGACATGTTTTTGACATGTTTTTGACAATGGTAATGCCAAATCTTCATCAATCTGTTCTTTCAGTTAGATTGTACTGAGTTTGATGTTTAAAGGACTCTGACTTTTTAGAGCGCCTCTGTCCAAGCTTTGTTTTTGTTTAGTAAAACAAATAAGCAGCCCTAATACACTGTAAAGAAAAATTGGTTAAAAAAAAGTTTTTTTTTTTTTTTTTTTTTGGCTGGCTTTTAAATACAGCTTGTCATTAGATTTGTGTGTGAGGCATAGTATCCAAATCTCTTTGCTGGTTCATATTTGAGTATCTCTGGATATAAAAATACCCATACTGAGCCAGCATTTGATTTCCTGCTGAACTGTTTTTCACATTTCCAATATAATTATGTAGCAGTTACAAAGAAACAAAAATCTGAACTCCACAGAATACCATAGAAACCCACATTCATTTATTTAAGTAAAGATATAAAAAGAAGATAAGACAGGAATTGATGTGTCAGGTGACTTCTCAGGGTAACTGATACCTAAAATAAATCTGTGAATATCTGGATACCTATTAAAAATGATTGGTTAGACATGGATTTTAAAAGGCAATTATATATTCTACAAATGGCCCCTGGTATTTAAATAGGAGATCTTCATGAAAGTAAGTGCTGAATTTGATATCTTTTTATTTGAGCCTTGTTTTCTGTATGATTGCTTTTGTCCTCAGTACAGTCCAGATTAAAGAGTTTTAAGGTCTAATAAACCATTCACTTGGTGTACCAAATAATTGCAAAGTGAATACAGAAAACATTAGTGAGTTGAACACATTTTTTGCCCACCTATCCTAGGCACTTCAGACACAGATTGTTGAAGACCTAGTTCCTGGCCTGGCGGTGAAGTTTCTGTAGTGGAGAGGGCAACTTTTGAACTACAGTTACATTGTTTAATTGAAAGAGACAGAAAGCATCCAAACCACAGATAGGAGGAAGAAATGAGTTCTGTATGATGCTTTCTCTGGTGCCCTTCGCAGTCAATCCAGATACTACCATGTGGCAAGTGAAGAAGGAAAGCAAGAATGTTAGTGGCAAAGGGAACAGCATGAAGCCATCCAGGAAGTTTTGGATATTTTTAGATGCAAAGGAGGAACTTGTTGATCTTGGTCTCTTTCATTCAGCTATGGTTATGATAGACTTCATTGTATGTCCATCTGGAGACTGTGCTTTAGGAATGAGTAATAGACTAACAAGGAAGCCTCAGTATAAATAGATACCCAAGGCCTAACTTTGGTTGAAGAATGGCTGGAGAAGCTGTTTCCTGGGCATAATAAGAATCATGACTTAGGGAAATGGCCTGGATGCAAAAAGAGTGGTACATACACTTGCCCTTTCATGCTCTCTATTGGTTCAATGTCTAGATCTGTAACATTAAATGATATCTGCATGTGACAATAAAGAACAGAAAATAAACCAGCATTTAAGATGCTACTTAATCCCAAGCAGAATGCTGGTCTCTGTGTACTTACATTTCTTGTTTCATTCAATCCTCATAACAATGTTTAGATGGATGTAACCTGAACACTGTTTTAGAAATGTGTCATGCGAGACTCAGGAAAGCCGGGACACAAGGAAAAGCCCATAGATGTAATAAAGGGAGGTTTGAATCCACCAGATTTGATGTCAAAGCCTGAACTCTCTCTACTCCTTGATACTACTAAGTGTGATAGATGGGCAAACATCCTCTAAACAAGGTTCATCTTTGTACAGAGTTTCAAATGCACCATTATTCGCCAGGTCCTATATTAGATAATACACATATAGGAATAAAAAATCCAGGAATCACATTGCTTACATCAACTTGGTTGCAAAATCATAAAAATAGCAATCATAGAATATGGCATGTTCATTTTATCCAGTGTAGTTTGGCCATGAAGTTTGGCTTACTGTGACTTTCACATGAATAGTTTGGTCTTTCTTTTTAATGTTCACGTACTATAATTATTTTATCTGCAACAGAAACATCTAATTTTAAAAGTCAAAGAGGTGGGTAAAATAAATCCATTTGGAAATGTTGATTCAATCCATGGGATTATTGTAATTGTACCTCTGAACATCATAATTCTCTTCAGTATGTGGATGAAATGAGACAACTACTAAGTTTTTTTTTTTTGCATTTCTATTTGATAAATCTTTAGTGTCTGTGTTTCACATGATAGTGAAGAGCACAGATTTAGACAGAAAGGTATGGGATTGTAAACTGACCACGATATTGGGAAGTTATGCAATGTTAGTCAAAGTACTCATTCCTTTTAAACCTCAATTTCATCACATTAAGGTGCAGATAATAATACCTTTCTATGTTGTTGTATAATGCATGTAACATAGTAATTAGTCTTAAAGTGAGTAATTGAAACATATTGGGGGAGAATGGGGCAACAGACTTTTATTCTTTAAGACCATAATATTCAAAGAGTGGTCCAGGGATCTTTAGAGTCTTTGAGACATTTTTAAGCGTTCTGCAAGGTTGAAATACTTTTTTATAATAATATGACAACACTGTTTGCCTTTGTCTGTCTCACAGTTGAAAGTATACTTTTCCAGAGACTATATGGCACTTGTTAATATCATAGTGAGCCATTAGCTCAATGGCCAATGGAATCTGTGCTTCTATATTCTTGTGTGTGTGTGTGTTCAACTTACAATATGGTAAATATTGAGAAGTACAACCCAATAACAAAATTTTAATGCATAAAGGGTTTTGGGGTTCTTCATTAATTTTTAAGTGTGTGAAGTGACCCTGAGACCAAATTGTTTGAGAACTGATGCCTTAGAAAGTTATTTATTTTCTCAATTAGCTTGAGGTAATTAGTTTGAGATATAGTAACAATAAGGATTGTTACTGTTAATATATCTTGAATATAACATTGATGGAAACAGCTTATTACCTGTAAAACGTTGGTTGGCTATTCAAAGAAGTAATGCTTATAATTTCTTTATTAGGATTCTTGGTATGGAGTAATTAGTAAGCACTCAAAAAATGCAGATCATTGTTAAGAGCAGAGTGAAAATGAAGGTAACCCCAAAGGAAATACATTGGCATTATAATTTACACTTTCAGGGTCTCACCAAATAAGGTTGCCTTCTCAAGAGACAAAATTGTTCCCAGGGCAGATCAAGACTCGCCCATTGATAACTCCTTTGTATTACCCTTTCAGAACAATTAATAGGGTCACACAGATAGAAACTGGGGAAATTCATCCAGGCACTGCGAGAGAGAGAGGGAGAGGGAGAGAGAGAGAGAGAGAGAGAGAGAGAGAAAGGGAGAGAGAGAGAGAGAGAGAGAAAGGGAGAGAGAGAGAGAGAGAGAGAGAGAGAGAGAGAGAGAGAGAGAGAGAGAGAGAAAGGGAGAGACACAGAGAGAGAGCCTGAAGTGCTCTTCCGGGAACCAACCCTCTGGAACTAGAGGAGATTATCAATTATAAGGCCACTAAAATTTAAATTACACATCTTAACCTCATGGCTTTAACTCCATGTTTTTCAAATCACTTGGTGATTATTTTATTCAATTTTAGAAACAGTTGCAACAATATATGCTTACTTAAATAACAATAATAACAACCATAATAATAACAGCTACCATTCCACCATTTCTTGAGCCTTATTTTCTCAGTGTTTGACACAAAGCACTTTGAAGAGAATCACCCAAGTACTTTACAAAACTGCCCCATGTTGTGGGGAATTCTATTATCAACACTGTAGGAAGGAGAAAATTGGGCAGCTATTGTATCTCTCTGAGTTCTAAAGACTTTGCAGCAAATAATTGATGGAGCCAGGCTTTGAGGCAGACCTTCTGCCTTACCGATATGCCACACTCCAAAGCTTTTGGCAGACATATTATTTTTTATTGTAACTTAACAAATTAGCTTTATTGTTAAGTGACTGTCTTCTTAGAACTTGGCTAATGCATGTCTGTGCTGAAGCAACATTCACTTTAGGAATGTGCTGATAGACTAAAATTTCTGTTCCTACCAAATTGAGGACAAAACCCTAAATCTCAATGAACCTAGCAAGGTGACTGACATTTTGAAAAATTTTGTCATGAATGAGGGTCCTTGCCAGAGAAGAATAACTTTGACCTCCCTACTTTTTTAATGTTAGTAACAGGAATTCTTAACATTTGCATTATGATATCCTATACATTGCACACTGATTCTTTATTCTTTACTACAGCGAAGCCTCAAAACAACTATATAAAATGGTCCATGGCTGGTATTATTATCCTGCGTTTCAGGTGATATAGCCAGAACTCAGACAGCTGACTTGTTTCCTGAAGATCATTCAGCTAAGATGGTGCCAAGTAATTCTTCAACCCTAAGACTTTTCATGAATTCATAATTAGAATGTGCTTAACTAATATTCATTTTGCAAGCACGGATATACATCAGATTGATTCTAGTGATACAAACTGTGACAATGCTAACAATCATAGCTTATGTTGCTTACACTGAAAATCACCATCACTTTTGTAGAGTGATTATTTTACTTAGAAATGGTATGAATAGTGTCGCACACACACACAAGTCATGCGGAAATCATTTTGGTAGACACCTGGGGTAGTGTCAGCATAGCAGAAGAAATATCATTTAGAATATGAATATTTCCATACTCTTCAAGAGAGCAAGATGTCTGATGGCTTGCTGCATAGAATGCCCATTCTCTCCTTTTGCTGCAGATTGTTTTATCCAAAGCACGTACGTGGATCCCAACAGTGAAGTATGCTTGCAGCTCAAAGGTTAGTCCTGCATTTTAAAAAGCCAGTATAAACTTGGCCTGAAGCTCCTCTTCACAACATAAGTAACTTGCACAGAACAAACGAGTATTAACTTTTTTAGCATAATTTCCTAACACATAATATTACGATGAATAGATACTGAAGTAGGTAGGTTATGTTATCTCCATTTTATAAAATTGAGATCAAAGTAAAACCAGAAATGAGATACTACCTTACTTCAGCCAGAATGGTCATTATTAAAAAGTTAAAAACAAACAAACAAACAAACAAACAGAAATAGACAGTGTGGAGGTGATGAAAAGGAATGCTTATACACTGCTGGTGGGAATGTAAACTAGTATAACGTCTATGGAAAACAATATGGAGATTTCTCAAAGAATTAAAGTAGATCTACCATTTGATCCAGCAATCCCATGCTGGGTATCTACCCAAGGGAAAAGAAGTCACTATATCAAAAAGGCACCTGCATGTGTATGTTTATCACAGTGCGATTCACAGTTGCTAGGATATAGAATCAACATAAGTGTCCATCAAACAATGAATGGATAAAGAAAATGTAGCATATGTATGTATACCATGGAATACTACTCAGCCATAAAAAAGAAATATCTTTTGCAGCAATTTGGATGGAACTGGGGGCCATTATTCTAAGTGAAGTAACTCAGGAATTGAAAACCAAATACCCACATGTTCTCACTTATAAGTGGCAGCTAAGCTATGGGCATGCAAAGGTATTTAGACTGGTATAATACACATTGGAAACTCAGAAGGGGGTAGGGTGGGAGGGAGGTGAAGAACAAAACACTACCTATTGGGTACAATGTACACTACTTGGGTGATGGTTGCACTAAAATCTTAGACTTCACCACTCCACAATTCATATATGTAACCCCAAACCACCTGTAAACCTAAAGCTATTAAAATAAAAAATTAAGTAAATAAATAAATAAAATTGAAATATGCAGAGAGGAAATGGTTACCTCAAGGTCACTGAGCTAGCACCTGGTGGAATTAAAGTGTTCACAGATCTTTCTTTCTATATCAATAGACTATTTTCAATTCAGTATCACATGGAGTCATGGCAGGTATCTAGATTTAGTTTGTTATTTTGTTCATCATTTCTGTCTGCCTTATCCTTTCTCTTCTACCACGGAATCAGCCTTGGATTTCTGAAAGAACAGCAACTAATTTGAAAAATTTCTACGGGTCTATTATTGTACTGTGTTGAGGTAGATGAAATTTTCATTTAGTTTCATATTTTAAAACAATAAAGTTATTTCTTTTCTTACTGTAGTTAAAGCCCAGAGGGGAGAAAATACTAGAACTCTCTTACATTAATCTAAGAGCATTTTTGAATACAATTGTATATCTATAACTATGTGATGCCAAAACATCTGGAACAAAAATGATAAATTAAATCAACTGGCATTTTACCCAGACACAACCAAGCAACAGATGTGGGGTAAAGCTGAATGAGTATCTCAACTAATTTTGATGAATTTCAGGAGACACAAACCATAATTGTCTATTTATTAAATCTTTGAAATCATGGCTATAATGACAATAATCTCATCTGGGGTTTAGGGGACAAACTGAAATGTCAGCCTAAAGTATTTGAAGATCATCTCTTTATTGATTTATTGATCCTGCCATGCATTCATTATTTTTTTCTAGAAAAATTGCATAGTTTCTCAGATAAGTTTGAGATTTAGAAATTTGATTTATGCACTTAATTTAAACAGTGAAGACCTCTTTTAAAATTATATTATTACTACATTTTCATGTCTGCCTTATTGGCAAAGGTCAGAAGGGTCGTAGTTCTACTGAAAATTTTATTTGAAGAATTCAATAGACTAATGGCAATGATGTCTTAATTTATCCAGTTTACAGCTCTTTACACATATTTCATTAATTCTTGAAACATCTCTCTGAGGTATGTAAAGGGCAGGGATTATTAGACCCATTTTTCAAGTTTAGAAAATAAGATAAAATTAGATAGAAAATCATTTTCCTAAGACAGCAGTAGGAAGCTTGACCAAACCACTCCAGGTTTACAATTGCAATAATGCTCTGAACGATTTACAAATGTTAGCTCATTAATTCTCCAACATCACATGGAAATTATTTTTTAAACTTTTACATGATGGGGTATTTGTATATCTGTATCTATATTTATATCCTAAAGGGAAGGGGGGTAAAATATTTCTGTACATTAAAATGAACATTGGAAAACTGAGAACTAATTTGAGTTCATTTCTTTGTCTACATCATGCCACCCTTTACATAACCCTAAATCCTTCAATAACTCATGATATGAGAGACTAGGATGACAGAGAATCTCTAGTGTACTTGAGCATTGAGATGAACTAAAATGTACAGTAACATTAATCTGACAGTTTTGCTGGCATGTAAAATGGTTACCATGTTGCATCAGGAATTGAATATGAATAGTTAACAGTTCATATAGATGGTAGTAATTAATCTTAGTTTTCCTACGGGAAACTGAGTACATTTGAAATCATCTGTGGAAGAGAGGACAAGTACTGAAGAACTCTGATTTGAGTCTAAAATCTACTCCTTTCTCAGCTAACTCCTTCTGACCTCCTTCTATTCATTTTCGATTCCCCTTCTCACTTCTTTCATTGAAGAAAACAGTTTTGGGCAGAGAGATCTTTGTTGGAGTTTTGACTGGGCCACCAACTTGCTATGTGACTATGGGAGAGTCATTTCCTGTTTCTGAGTTTCAGTTTCCTGCTTCATGGAATATGAATGATAATATCAATATCATAGGAATGTCATGTGATTTAAAGTAGAGAAGCCATATTTTGCACATTTCACTATGCCTGGCCCATTGCAATTGTCAAGTAATTTTAGTAGACATATTAATTCATTCGATTCATATGTATTTCTCATCCTAAATTATTTATCTTTGAATATCCAAGGCTATCAGAGAAACTAGCATATCATGTTCAATAACATTAGTTGCGATTGTTAACTATTATTAATGAATGTATGCCTTGCTCCATTAGCCATTTATTTTGCTCTTACAGGTATAACCTTATTTATTTATCACTTCACGTAAAGATCTATGAAATTATACAGAATCCTCACCTATCCCCTAACAGCTTTGAAACATTTTCCAGTCATGCCTCCCTACTTATTCAACAAAAGAATTAAAAACTACCCTTCCCTTGAAATCTATCTACTCTATGTGAATTGTGCTATTTTCCTGAAGTTAAACCCTAGATATAAAAATGATAAATGATTTTTTATGCTGTCAACTGTGCAACCAGGTAACGCTTGATTCTGCCTGCACACTTCTACAGAATTGAAGTTTGGAAGATAAATATGAAGAAAATCCTATCCAGGACAATCAGAGATTTCCCATTCAACTCTAGCTCCCAACAGTATTATTTTACGGTTAGTGTGCATTCTGTAGACTTGGAGTCTTGCCCTGTGATTTACATGAGAGGATCAATGGGATGCTTTGCGAAGGAGGAAGAGAACATGCAGACTTTCTGCTATCCTGAAGCCAGAAAATCCTAGGGTGGTAGATTTGAAGTTCCTGTTATGAGCTTAGTGTTCAGACAGTAATATGGTCAGAACGGTCTGAGTGAATACTGGTATCTATTCTGACCCTGGCACGTGTGTATGCAATTCATGACATTCCCTGCTGTAAATGCTTGGAAACCAGAACTGGCCCACTGGAGCTGGCCGAATAGACAAAGAAAGCCTGGGCAGTTTTGCACAGTGCTATGAACATAGGCTCTGGAGGAATCCAGGCTAGAAGACTCTTTCCTGTTGTTCTTTTACATCCTATGCAAGCTGAAATCCTGGGTGGCCTCCTTATGAGATGTGTGATTGAGGGCAATTTGTTTAACATCCCTGCCCCAGCAGGAAGTTGGTGTCCAAATGCTCTTATTTTCACCAGAAGCACAGCTGCATTTTGATGGACTGCATATAATAGTTGTTCAGCAAATACTCTAAGGCACTGCTTCTCAAGCCTTTATATGCCTATGAATTACCTGGTGATCTTGTTAAAACACAGATTGGGATTCCCTGAGTTTGGGGTGCAGATTCTACATTTCTAAAAAGCCTCTAGGTGATGCTGACTCCAGTAGTCATTGGCTATAAGTAACAATGCTCTATTCATATATAATACACATTTAATACTATTTATTCATATGAAATAGTTATCACAAAACAAAACCCTAAGCTAATGTCTCTGAAAGTTTAGCATGTAGCACGCTCACCTGGAAGGACTATTACAGATTACTTGGTGCCATCTTCAGAGTTCCTAATTCAGTAGGTCTTGTTTGGGGCCTGAGAATTTGAATTTTTCACGAATATCTAAGCAACACTCATACTGCAGTGTAGTCCACTAGTTGCAAACCATTGACCTGGACCAGTTCCTTCCCTATCTGGAAACTTCTGTTAACAGTTTTGAAAATGGTATTTGGTTTTCCAATCTTAGGGAGGTAATAGTCATCAGGAAGTTTTGTTTTTTACTTAGACTCTCTATTTTCAATGTTTGCATGCAGTTTTAAGAAATAATACAGAGAGACTCTATTTATCCTTTACATAGTTGTTTTTCCAATGGTGACAATCTTACAAAACTATATAGTACAATACTATAACCAGAATATTCACATGGATTCAGTCTACCCAGTTTATTCAGATAGCCCCAATTGTCCTTGTATGCATTGCGAGTATATGTGTTTGTGGTTAGTTCTGTGCAATTTTACCACATGTGTAAGTTTATGTATACACCACCACGGGCAATGCCCAGAGGAAGTCCACCACCACCAGGATCCCACCATATCTGCCTACCTCCGGAGCCTCACCTCCCGTCTTTAGTTCATGGCAACCACTAATCTATTTTCAATTTTTATAATTTTATCCTTTTCTTTTTACTTATTTTTTGAGACAAAGTCTTGCTCTGTTGTCCAGGCTGAAGTGCAGTGGCTCAATCTCAGCTCACTGTAGCCTCAACACCTGTAGGTTCAAGTGATCCTCCCACCTCAGCCTCCCGAGTAGCTGAGACTACAAGCATGTGCCACCACACCCAGCTAGTTTTATTTTTTGTAGAGACAGAGTCTCAGTATATTGCCCGGGCTGGTCTTTAACTCCTGAACTTAGGTGATCCACCCACCTCGGCCTCCCAAAGTCCTGGGATTACAGACATGAGCCACTGCACCTGGCCTAATTTTGCCATTATAAAAATGTTATACAAATGGAATATGCAGTACATAACCCACAGGAAGATGCTGTTAAAGCTTGCTAGTGCCCAGGTGTCACCACTGTATTCTTATTTGTTTTAGTGTGGAACTCATACTTTTGTATTTTTTGAAGCTTCCCAGGTGATCCTAATATTCAGACAGGGTTTATACTCTGCCTACCATTAAGGGAGGTCTTTAGCTCTAGGGATTGTTTGCAACTCAAAGGATCATGTGGATGAACTTCCTTTTCCAATAGCCAAAAACACAAAATGCACATGTACCAGAATTAGTTATCATCAAAGACTATAAAACCAGAAATCTTCTGGGAAATGCATTTTGAATATGTATCTAAAGCTTCAATTTACTCCTAAATCAAACAGAAAGACTGTTTATACTGTAAAGATGGTCTCTATTTATAACTTGCAGAAAAGTTATTTATAATACCCATGCAACATTGTGTTTGAAACACTGAAATTGGCAGTTATTTCTTCTGTGGACACTCATGCTTTTGTTTTTCTGATCAAATATTGTCTAAGCCAGATCAGAAATATTGGTATTCTTCTTAATTTTAAAAGTATCATAATTAATTTTAAATTATACACACATATTTATATATGTATCATGTGAAATGTTATAAGAAAATCAATGTCATGTGATGATATGGGTGTATTTGTGTGTCATGTGACTTTGAGGAAAATAATTTTCAGTAAATTATAGATCTGCAAATTGATACTCTTTTGGAAAACACAATTACTTCAAATTCATTGTTTATGTCTTCCCTCTGTTTTTGCATCTTCTTGAAAACAAACCTTACAAATACAATGATGACTCGTCTTTGTTTGATATTTATAATTAATTTTAACCCACATTTTGAGTTATTTTTATTTGTTTAATGTTAATATATCAGGTGACTTGCTAGATGTTTCTTATACTGCCTCATGTAATTATGTTTACACTATACATAACTAATATGACAAATAGTCAATATTATCTGCTAAAAGTATTTTAGTTTTAGCCTCTATTTTAGAGATTCTACTTAAATATTTCTAGACATTTCAAGTTTAGAAGAGAGGCTGTTAAAATTCTGTTCCTTGCCAGATGCGGTGGCTCATGCCTGTAATCCCAGCACTTTAAGAGGCTGAGGCGGGAGAATCATTTAAGGTCACGGGCTCGAGACCAGCCTGGTCAACATGGTGAAGCCCTGTCTCTACTAAAAATTCAAAAAAATTAGCTGGGCATGGTGGTGGGCACCTGTAATCCCAGCTACTGGGAGGCTGAGGCAGGAGAATCACTTGAACCCAGGAGACAGAGGTTGCAGTGACCCGAGATTGCGCCACTGCACTCCAGCTTGGGCGACTGAGTGAGACTCTGTCTCAGTAGATAAATAAATAAATAAATAAATAAATAAATAAATAAATAAAATTTTCTTCCAAATATATTTTATCTCATAACAAATTAACCCCAAACTTAGTGGTTTAAAATAATAGTAACCAATTAATTTGTTCAAAAATGTATAGTATGGGTAAGGCCAAACAGGGTCAGACCATTTCTCATCTAGACAGTGTCAACTGGGGTGGGTTTACACAGGCTGGAAGACCCATGTGGCTCACTCAAACATCTGGGAAACTGAGGTTTGTTTTGGTTCTCCTCCATAAACGTTTCCTTGGGTTGGGGTGGGGGGTGTGTTGGTATCTGTGTTTCATGGTGTCCATGTTTCATGGTATTGGTGTTCCAAGACTAACAATCCAAAGAGTGATAGAGAGTCAAACCTGCCATTTTCTTAAGGTCCAAGCAGCTCTGATATTGACACAACATTCGTTGCATCTGTCATCTTCAATTACTTATTCAGTAAGAGAGCCCATATCCAGGGGAAGAAACTCAATGAGAGGAGTATTAAATAATTAATGTCATGATTTAAAACAAACACAGTTGACCTTTGGCCACAAAATATTTGCATTCCTACTAAAAACACTCTGAGATTTTAAATCATTAGAGCATCATCCTCGAGCTGACCCAGTATACAATGGGGGAATAGAATAAGGATAATTTCTGTAGACAGCATTACTCAAGAACAGAGAAAGTGGAAGTCATATGGCAGTTACTGGTAAATAGTGATTCTTGGAATCATTTTGGCACATGTTACTAGTTCCTTGATGAGTATCCAGTACTGTTTCAGAGAACTGATTCTCCTAGACTTTTGACTCTAGACACATGGCTCTTGGTTCTGTTCCCATCCTCCCCTTCTCCATCCCCTCTTCCTCCTCCTACTACTGCTATACTACTACTATTACTTTCCTTCTCCTTTTCCTTCTCTTCCTCTTCCTCTTCTTCCTCCTCCTCCTCTTCCTCCTTCTTCCTCCTTCTTTCTTCTTTTTAAAAAATAAATTATCTGTGTCTGTAACTGAGATGTCTTCTCAATCTGCATGCTGCCTGTAAATGTTTGGGAGTCTGGCAGCATTTTTTCATTGTTTACTGTCTTTTTTGTAAAAGCCAATATGCTTTCTTTAAATATTTTGTAAGTTTCTTACAAATCAATTTGTAATTCATTTCATTAGACAGCAATCACACTCACAAATCTCTTCAGGGTGAGCTCTTCTTGACTTTGGACACCTCGTGAATCTGCTGTGGTCAATGCTGTTACGATTCTTAGTAGAGGGTCTATGAGACATACCCTATCCTTAGCCCATTTATGCCTCATGTTCCATTTTTGGAATGCTAAGCATGTGGGAGTTCGTTATATCCTACTGCTCAATGGCGTCACCAAAGTCAGATTTTTCACACCCAGGAAATTGCAACCCCCAGCATAAATGGATTAAGCTCCTCAGAGGACCTTCTATTTCTTTGAAAGTTCTAGTAAAAAAACCTCAGATCTTTCTGAGATATTAACAACAAAAGATCATATAGCCCCATTATGTATTTGATCTATGAACTGAGACTCTTTCTTAATTTGAGAATTATTTTTCTCTGGAGAAGCTGAGAATCAAAAAATATATATTTTCAAACTCAAACATTGGGAAGCCGAGGTGGGCGGATCACTTGAGGTCAGGAGTTCAAGAACAGCCTGGCCAACATGGAGAAACCCTGTCTGTACCAATAACACAAAAATAAGCCAGGCGTGGTGGCATGCACCTGTAATCCCAGCTACTTTGGAGGCTGAGATAGGAGGATCCCTTGAATCCAGAGGGCAGAAGTTGCAGTGAGCCAAGGTCATGCCATTGCACTCCAGCCTGGACAACAAGAGCAAAACTCAATCTCAAACAAAACAAAACAAAACAACAACAAAACAGAACAAAAAGACCTCAAACAGTCCTAATTTCAGAAAAAGTTTCTTCTTTAACTGATTTATCTCTATTCACATTTTGTTTAGGTATTGAGAAAAAGCTATATAGTAATCTAATATTCTGCCTCTTCCTTGAATCTCTTTAATTAAATCATCAAATTCACTAGGGGCATTTTCTTTTTTTCTACATGACTCAAAGGTGTCATGGTCAAAATTCTCACCAGTATATACACAGGTTTCCTTTCATCTAATTTCCAATAATATTTTCCTTGTTGTAGTTACTTTACTGTGAGATCTCACCAACAGCTTCTGCAAATCCTTTGCTCTTTCACTAACAACACTATCCCTGAGGACCATTAAGTTTTTACTAACAATATTCTCAATTAATCTATCTCCTTCCTGCCACCTGGTCCCAGAACCAGTGCCACATGCTTAACGTTGTCATTACAGCAGTACCTTACTTCAAGGAACTCAAATCTGTTTTGATTATCTACTGCGGCATAACAACAAATCCCAGAACTTAGCGGCAGAAAAAAACATCACCATTTATTTTGCTCGCAAATTTGAAATTTGGGCAGGGCTTGCCAGGGTCAGTTTGTCTCTGCAGAATGTGATATAAACTGGGGCAGCTTTGAAGAGACTGACTACCCAGTTCCAACATGGCTCAATCATATGGCTGGCAAATTGGTGGTGGCCATCACTGCCTTTCCAAGGGAGAGTTTGGGCTTCTCCATGGCCTGGTATTTGCATTCCAAGATGAAGTACCCCAAGAGAGATAGAAGCTGCTAACTTCTTAAGACTTGAGCTTAGAAATTAGCACAGTGCCACTTCGTTCATATACTATTGATCTATCACAGAGCCTATATTCAAGAGAACAGCTACCCTATCTTTCAGTGAAAGGTATTTCATAGAATTTGGAGCCATGTTTTAAAAGTATGTGATTGTGAATCACACAAAAGCATTAAGTTACAAAATATAATTAGAGTTCTCAAAGACTTTAAAAATCAAATGATAATATTTTATCATTAAGTATTAATAGATATTAAATATTATAAAATACATCTTAAATACCTTAATAGTTGTAAGTCCTAAAACCATAGAGCATTCTGAAAGCAGAGAGCATTTGTTTATTTTGCCTATTTCTTCATAAACCCCTTTAAATATTTACTTATTGCTTTGTTTTTGGATAAAACTAGTCCTTGGTTTAAGGCTTGGCTTTGCAGTCTAACCCACTGTGTGACCCGGGAATGTTTCTTAAATCCACTAAAACTTTTTTACTTTTTCTCTGCAAACCAAGAAACATTAATAATATTTCTCCTACTTCACTTGGAGGGAATTGTGATGGTCAAATAGGGACAATGTATTGGAAATTTAAAAAAGATAATGTAGACACAAATGTCATGTCTACCCTTCTTTGTTGCAAAGATATTTTAATCGAGAACTCAATGGATCTAAAAATGGAGTCTAAATTACTAAACTGCAGGGGTCTATAGGGGCCAGCTTACTGGAGAAATGATTGGATTAGGATTCGTTCAGCAGTATCTATGTGCACACAGGAAGATGGAGCTATGTTTGTCGAACTTCTAGGACAGTGAGAATCCCATTTCCAAAGCCTAGAGATTCTTATTCAATGGGACATATGCCAGGGTCAATAACATGTACTTTTTGCAAACATCTCAAATAATTTCAATATGGTTGAGATTTAGAATGTACTTTGAGAAACCTGCTGAAGTGAAAAGAATGAAGAGTAACTAGAGATTTAGACAAAAAAATATGTTCTCTATTTAATTTGCTGGGATAGCACACTATGTTAAATATGATAGTACCACATAATTGCTCTCTTTAGACAAGGATTTTGATCTTGGTATTATGTATGTAATTACAATTTCCAGTTATTCAGAATAATTGTAAATTACAAATGTGTGTGTGTATGTGTGTGTGTGTATTTCTGTTGCCTCCCAAAATCTAAAAAGGAATCTTTTAGTAATACTTCATGACTTCCCTTACTTTACTAGTAATCCGCTATATAATATTTTCATCTGGGGAATTTCTTGAAATGGTTTTCAATGGTTTCATAAAGTAAATTTGTAAGTGGAGAGAATGACACATGAATTCAAATTTACCTTAAATATTTAGTAATAGAAAATATTGCTGGTTATTGGAAAAACAGAGAAGAGGCAACTGTGACAGAAAATGTACAAGAAAATCTTGCTTGTATTATATATTTTAAAGACACAAAAATGTACAAAATATCAGTGTTTTGGGAGACTGGAAGTAACAACTTGGTTACAAAATCTCTATTAAGGTTGGTTGCAGTGGCTCATGCCTGTAATCTGAGCACT
Organism: Homo sapiens; assembly: GCF_000001405.40. Lineage (NCBI taxonomy): Eukaryota > Metazoa > Chordata > Mammalia > Primates > Hominidae > Homo > Homo sapiens. The sequence continues at coordinate 61,756,082 of NC_000016.10, read as the reverse complement.
TTGGTTGGCTGGGGTGGGTGGATCACTTGAGCCCGGGAGTTTGAGACGAGCCTGGTCAACATGGCGAAACCCTGTCTCTATTAAAATTACAAACATTAGCCAGGCGTGGTTGTATGTGCTTGTAATCCCAGCTACTCTGGAGGCTGAGGCACAAGAATCGCTTGAACCAGCGAGGCAGAGGTTGTAGTGAGCTTAGATTGAACCATTGCACTCCAGCCTGGGCGACAGAGCGAGACGCGAGACCCTGTCCCCACCACCAAAAAAAGAAGAAGGAGAAGAAGAAGAAGAAGGCGGAGAAGGAGAAGGAGAAGGAGAAGAAGAAGAAAAAGAAGAAAACTCTACTAATGAAAATAAAATAAAATTCAGTTATTTTATCTTGATTAAATGTGTGATGCGTGGATAACACAGATAAAATAAATAAAATAAAATAAAAGAGAAAATCATTAAAGAACAAAATCATCCATAGGCTCACAATTGGCACACAGCCACTGTATAAAATTTAATATATTTGAAATTTATGTAAACTTTTCTTGAAACTGACAATTTAAATTGTTTAATTCACCCTATTATTTCTACTATTTTGAAATATTTAACTGAAAGTAACAGTATAAAATTATTTCTCTAATATGAATACATGTTTATACACACTACACACGCCAATACGTGGCTATACATAAATACACATTTAATAAATATATAAAGATGTGGATACATTAAATGTATACTATATATACACAAAATATTAATAATCATAGTCACACAGTTCAACTAAATTCTCATTTTCTGATTATTCCGTATGTTAATTATAACTCCTTGTGATAATTATACATTCCTTAAGATTAATACTCCCTTACTGACAAATAGTTGGCTTTCACCCAATACTTTGCACTCTTCACTGGGCCTGAATTTACCTGAGGCCCATATTCTAACTCTTGCAAACTGACTTAACCATGAAACTTCTTTTCACAAGAGTCGTTGTTTGCCTTGTATCTCCTATATTGACTTGAAGTTCTGAATTATATTTTACATTAAGCAAAATATACTGCTCTTGGAAAACTAAATACTGCATGTTCTGACTTGTAAGTGGGAGCTAAACATTGGGTACACATGGACATAAAACTGGCAACAGTAGACTGATGCCTGCTAGAGGAGGGAGGAAAGTAGGGGGCCAGTGCTGAAAAACTAACTGTTGGGTACTATGCTCATTACCTGGTTGATGGGGCCATTCATACCCCAAATCTCAGCATCACATCATACAATATACCCAGGTAACCTGCATATGTCCCCCTCTGAACATAAAATAAAATATAAGTTGAAATTAAAAAAATATGCAGTTAGATAGAAATAGGTTTTAGTATTCATTATTAAAGTAGGGAAAATATAGTTAACAATAATTTATTGTATATTTCAAAATGGCTGGAAGAATTGTAATGTTTTCAACACAAAGAAAAGATAAATATTTGAGATAATGGATATCCTGATTAGCATAATCTAATCACCATACATTCTATACATGCGTCAAAATATCACATGTACCCCCCAAAATATGTACAACTATTATATATAATATAAATATAAACAAAATAAAAAAAACAAAAAATGGCTTCTGGTAGTATTCTTCCTTTGACTCATCAGTTCATGCAATCACTTGTTTATCCATCCAACAATCAACCTAGCTATTAATTATATTTTCATTCATTCATCTAGTGATTTAATAATCATTATAAATGAAACACATGAATCATTATTTCTCTGGAATGCTTAACACCTATTAGAAATATCAAGGATCAGTAATAATGTATGGCTTTGATTTTAACCTTCAGGAAAATATTTTGGAACAAAATGCTAAGAGTTTTTTTCTCATGGAAAACTGTGTAACATGTCTTGTATCTACATTATTTTATCAAAATCCTTGTCGATAAGTTTTTGTGTGGAAGCTGAAGGACGTTAGAAAGGATTTTATCTTTGAGAACCTGGAAGTTTTCCTAAGAAAGGGAAGGGATTTCACATTCAGACAGTATTAAGTTTGAGACCTTACAATTAAATCCAGAAATGTTGGGAGTCCTGCATTCATTTCTTACGGGTAGCATATGTAGTTTCTTCATTTTGAGTGGTTGTACTGATTTAATTTTCACAAATAAAAAAGTAATATATAATAATATCCAATGTGACCTGGCAGATGAAAGCTCCTACTGTTTTTATTATTGTTTTTTCCTTATTACTTATTATTATTACTTTTTCTACCTCCACTCAAATAAGTAAGAGCTTAGATACTTTTTGTTTCTGACATGGTACATATTAATTCTTTGGCTCAATTTTGGCCCCAATAACTGGATTTGGATTATAAAGTGTAGTACTTTTTTACCGACTATAATTAAAAAATCCAAACTATCTTATGAAATCTAAACTTGCAGTGTCTCTGTTACCATCTTTATAGCCTATATGAACATATCCTCTAAGGGCCTCTTTATGAATAAAAATTGTTTAAGTGGGAATCATTATTTCTTTGGAATACTTAACATCTATTAGAAATGTCAAGTATCAGCTGTGTGTGGTGGCTCATGCCTATAATCCGAGCACTTTGGGAAGCTGAGGTGGGCAAATCACTTAAGGCCAAGAGTCTGAGACCCGCCTGGGCAGCATGGTGAAAAGCTGTCTCTACTACAAATACAAAAATTAGATGGGCGTGGTGGCACATGCCTGTAGTCCCACCTACACCAGAGGCTGAGGTGAGAGGATTGCTTGAGCCAAGGAGGTGGAGGTTGCAGTGAGCCGAGATTGCACCACTGCACTCCAGTCTGGGTGACAGAGCGAGACCATATCTCAATTAAAAAAAAAAAAAAGAAAGAAATATCAAGCGTCAATAATAATGCATGGCTTTCATTTTAAACTTGAGGAAAATGTTTTGGAATAAAATACTATGAATGTTTTTCTCATCCAAAACTACACAAGATGTTAGTATCTACAGTAGTTTATAAAAAAATCTTCTTGCTCATCACACGTGTCTCAAACATTTTGTGCAGTGCCCTTACTCTGGAATTTTGTCCATCATATGTTTTTGTGGTTGTTGCCTTAAATATCTTGTCGTATCTCTGCACTTCCACATACTACTTTTCCTTCAAGGTCCAGATCATTACCTCCCTTAGAAAGCTGTCTATGTTGCTGTAAGTAAGTGGGCTTTCAGAGAAGGCAGTTTGATCTAATTTATAGTTATTGTTATTTGTGTATGTGCCTTTTGTTCCCCCTCCAGCTTAATGCCTTCAAGGGCAGATAAAACATGTTACACTTTTCTGTAATACTCGTAAACTTGTAGCATGCACTGTATCACTTTATAAATGAATGGCAAATATTCATTGGATGAATAAATAATCTTCATGGCTACTTTTGCATGTAATTGCAGGGTTTTTAATCACTTACTTATAATAGACAAAATACTATTCAGGAAAGAAAAATACATCAGACTGTCAAGATATGGGGAAAGTGTCACACAGAATGCTTGCAGATATTCTGAGGTGGAGATGTATCAGGAGTGGTTTCTAAAGAAAATAAAATATCCTACAAGAACACAGCAGTTGGTTGTCTCCTTTAAAGTTAATAACCCAAGCCTAATTCTTTGTTAAAACTTAGAGTAGTTTTGTCTTATATTATCTCAATTCAGTAATCAAGAAAAGGAGGTTGTTTAATTCTCTTTGCAATCTGTCCATATCATGTGCAAGTCTATTACTGAATGTAAGAAATTAAGTTTTTTGCTAATCATCCAGAAATCTGTGATTGACTACTTCAAGACATTAACCATGCCCTTCTTTTAGAGTCTCTGCCATAACATGTCTGCCTGGAATATGCATCCCTTGCTATTGTCATAGCTAACTTCATTGTTTTCAAGTCTTTGCTGAAATAAGACTACCCTGATCCCCACAAGTACCAGATCCTCCTTATTCTGATTTATTTGTTTTTATTAGCACTTACTCCTTTCTAGCATACCATATTATTTAGCTATCATGTTCAATGTTCATGAACTCTTCCCCCTGAGTAGAATGTCTTATCCCATAAACTGATATCTCCTTAACATCTAGGAAAGTGTCTGGAGTAGTAAGCCTTCAATAAATATTTATTGAATGAGGGAACTGTTGATTGAATAAATGAATGAAGGGAGAATAGGTAATCCAGGAATAAATTATTAACAATATTATTTGGCTTGAAGAATATTGGCTAATACCTAATATCATTGGATAATTAAATGGTAGTATAATAACGTGCTTAGTTTTCTTAGACATCTTCAAATATTTGAACTAGAAAGTCCACCACAACTCAATGTAATATAATTACCATTCAGTTTTCAAAAAGTGGAGAGTGAAGGACAGGGAAAGGAAATATGTTTCCTGCGACACCAAAAGCAGTTGAAAAACATGTTAATTTTAAGCTAACCTTGCATTTGAATTCAGAGTTGTCACTACAGTGTTTTTATGCAGCGACCCCATGAACCAACTTTTTCATGTTTTAATTCACCATGTTAATGCATTCTGCACATTTGAGACTTTAAGCACATCAAGACAGCTAAAAAATGTAACGGGACGGTCTTCTATCTTGAGCTAGGATGTGTCTTCTTTCCTTTAAGCCATTTTTTTAAGAGTGTCATGTTTAAGTAAATTTTTAAATACGTTAAACTGCTTGTTTTTTTTTTTTTTTTTTTTTTTTTTTTTAAGGAGAATATGGAAGGACATTTGTGCCAACTACTTAACCTCAGAGTTTTCCTTGTAGAGGAAAATCTTCTCTGGTAGTATGTAATTCCACTTTCACGGTGTCTATGTCTATATCAAGCTAAAATTGAAGGCATATGTTGCATAACTGCAAGAGATTTGAATGTGTTTTAGAGTTAGGCACACATGAATTTTGTGCTGTATTGCATCGGTATTTATTAATTGTTTGACTTCAGTGAAGTGAGATAGTTTCTGTTTATCTTTGTTTGCCATATGTATGTTGGACACTAATATACAACTGAGCATCTATCATTATTAGCTTCTTTTTTCTCTTCCCTTCCTTTGCTTTTATTTTCTATGTTAACCAGAAACTGTACTCATTGTTATTCATGTGATGAAATGATTTGTTTAATTGCTTTAATACATTAGGCAATTAATTCTTTTTAGTGTTGAGCAAATTCCAACAATTTCCTAAGAAGAAATTATAATGAGGGTTTATGTGCAAGAAATCAAAAGCTATGGAATCTTTTTATTCTCATATAGCTATGAAAAAAATCACCTGGATAGGCAACATTTGAAATTATGAAATTCTGAATAGCTTTCATGCAGTTAATTAGAATCAAATATGGATATTAGCATGAGAAACTACATGGTGGAACTCATTGGTGGCATTTTTATTTGAGGGTTTTATTTTTTGTAGAGAATCCTGGGAGTGACATCACCATCAGTCAAAGATTAATAATTTAGTTGGAGGAAAACTTGAAAAAATGTATAATAAACTAGAGTCAACCTGCTTATAGGAAAAACAGAAATTTGTGGTGCTGTGAATGCATGTCTGTAATTTCAATGTAAGAACCACGTGAGATGGAAAATTATTATAACACTTCCTAATTTAGTTTCACTGAGTCAACCCTGAGATACAACTTTCCCAATATAAGTTTGGTCACTAAAACATTAGTCAGAATGAAATGCAATGTTTGTTTTAATTTAGTGATTACAGGAGATATTTAAACCTACCCCACATCCACCATTTCACATTCCACTTCACTCTCCCACTGTCTTACCCTGTGCTTCTTTACTTGCAGTGGTCAGAAACTTACTACCTTGAGAGACTGCGTAGTTTTTCTCTTGAGCAGGTATGTTAGAAAGCAACTCCTTAGAGTGAGCCAAAATGTGCCAGTACCATTATCCTAAGCAAATGAACACAGGAACAGAAAGCCAAATACCACATTTTCTCACTTATAAGTGGCAGGTAAACATTGATTACACATGGACATAAAGATGGCAGAAGTAGACACTGACGACTACTAGAGCTGGGAGGGAGACAGGGGGACAAAGGGTTGAAAAACCAGCTATTGAATACTATGCTGACTACCTGGGTGACAGGATCATTTATACCCCAAACCTCAGCATCACAAAATATACCCAGGTAACAAGCCTGCACATGTCCCTCTTGAATCTAAAATAAAATTTGAAATTAAAAATATATATATTTTAAAAGGTGCCAGTAAAGTACAAAGTTCCTTTAAAAATAGTTTACATGTCACTATTTAAGTTTTCTGGAATCATGGCTAAGGAGAAAGGTGTGTTTATGGAATTAGACACAGAGGTATCAGGATCTCAGAGGAAGGTGAACCAGTAAAGAGGTAACTTGGAAGTTCAGAGCAAAATAAAACGGGGACAAATAAACAAGGGCTAACTCTTTCAGCACTGCAGTTTGCTTGGTGCTTTTATATATAATTTCATTCAAGCCTTTCAGTCACCCCTGAGATAGGTATTATCTTGACTTTAGGATAACAGGTGCTGTTTTGAATACATCAGTGAACAATATGTGGAATACAACCTTGAACAAAAAAAGACTCAAAATTTTTCTCCAGATGGAATTTACCTTCTATTAATGTTAACTGGGGTTTTCTAAACTGTAATATTTGCTTACCAGTCAGATAAAAGTCCAATTTTCTACTGCTAGAGGAAATCCTGGGACAGATTCTTTCTTTCTAGAATCAAAGCTTCTGAAAGGCTGTATATAAATATAGGAAGTATTAAGCCTATCTTTCAAACCCTTGCAAGATTCATGGTATAGACAGAGGAAGATTCTTAAATACAGAGTTTTACCACTATGGTTCTTATCATTCATATTGGTCTTGCTCAAAGCTCTGGCGGCCTTTTTTTCCCCCTCTAATAAAAGTTCCTGGGTTCCAAACTAGAACTATTGAATCAAATGATGTCAAATGTTCTGATACCCACAAGAACCTATAAAAAAATCTGTGTACGTTTTATTGTAGATATTCCAAATGAAATGAATTTGCTACTCTGCCTTACCTCAATATTGTAAGCCTGGGCTTGAAGAGCCAGTATTCAGTAAGCTCATTTGTTACCTTCAGAGAAGAGTATTAGAAAGACAATAATGATTTTCCTTCTGAACAACCTATACCCTCCTCAAACATCAGTTGGAGAAATATTTTAGGGCATATTTGACCTTTGGAAGCCATTACTCTGTGATCATTATTGGTTGCCAACAGGCCTGCTGCTGAGAGTAGATAAAGTTTCCCTGCATTCACAAAGAAGGAGGTCTTGTTTCATTTTCATATTGAGGATGAATGCTCGGGTCAAGTTGTCAGAACTAAGTAGAGATAGGACAGGATTGGTCATTGGGAGAAGAAAATAGAGAAAGGAAGTTTACATTCTTATAACCTGGTATTGCATCTCTGTATGTATTGTTTGTAAGCATGAGAGACAGGAATTTGGGTGGAGAAACGACATTTAGAAGGACTAACCCCTTCCAACATTTCCCTTTTTTTTTCTTTACCTAGTTTTATTTTTATTCGTAAGTTTCAATAATATCTCAGACATCCCCCTTATTTCTAAGTATCTATGAATATAAGTGAATGTGTGTTTACTCTGTTTATTTGTTTTTCTGTTTGGTATCTGTAGCGCCTATAAGTGTAGCTGGCACTCAGTAGGTGTAAAGTCAGTATTTGTTTAATGAATGGATGTTGGAAAGTTACCTTGGAAAATAGAATTATCATATGTTAAGTGTTTATGAGAGAATAATCATGCCACTTTCTCCATAGGATTGTTAGGAAAATTAAAATCATGGTGCCTGAAAATAAGTGTTCAATAAACAGCATGTAATCTTAAAAAGTGATGATGATGATGATGATGACATTCTCAAATGGCAGACATAGATTATTAATGGAGTAGGGTAGTGGTTTGCAAGTAGGATTTCAATGTTAGTTTGGTTGTACTGACTGAGACTTATATAAAGAATACACAGAGCTTGGACACCAACCATATTAATCTCTCTAACACCTAGAACAGTGCTGAGGAAGAAGTCAACCAAAGTGGTTTATTCTCCACTGACTGGTTCCAATGCCTTGATGGAAAAAATCTACATCAAACTGGTTGATGTTCTAAGAGGCGTGTGACAATATATGAAAATAAATTATTTTTTAGCCAAATAACTGTGTTCAAAGCCCTGCCCCGGCGATGTCAAGGAGACCACCAGAAACAACTGGATTGTCTGCAACAGCAGAAATTCAGAGGTTGACAATTGAACTTAGCATTTTTAGTTACAGTGGATTTCTTCCTGCATCTTTTTTTTTTATTTTAGTGTGCCAACAATTTTTTTTTAATTTTACCATTTTTTAATTTTAGAAATTAAAATATTTCTGGTAACAAAGAAAGGTTTTCCCATCCTACATTAATTCAGGGTAAAAATAAACCTCTAGCAGGTTTTTCTTTTTTGACATTATTTGGAATTATTTTGTTAATAACATTGAAGACTCCAATATTGGTCTATATTTTCTCACTTTCTCATAATGTTTTGGAATAAGCTTGTTGCTTTGTCCCTGTCAGCATCTCTGTTGCTCTATATTGAAAATTTGCATGATGGATATACTGGGTCCAAGATTAGTTTATTAACTTTCCATTAACATGATGAGTATTTTAAAAGTGAACATGATGAGTATTTTAAAAGTGAATTTTTGAAGCTAGCACATCATTTTAGCTATGCCTTTTAAAAAGGCTTACAAGCATCTTGAGCAGGATAATGTCATTATACACAGGCCCTCTGCATTACCTCTGCAAGTACATCGAAAACCAACACCCAAAAAGAATGTTTCCTGTTCCTTGCAGATTTGCATATTTTACTCAATATATCTTTTACAATCTTATTACAAGAATACATAATATTCTATCTCTAGTTACCTTTCTAACATGCATAGATGGACGGATGATTTTATGGATACTAATTCAGTTAGAGGAAGTAGTAATGTATAAATGTAACTGTGATCTATGTTTACATTCGCATATATCCAAGGCATTTAATGTTAACATCTGGGAGTAAATCAACAACATCTAGTTTATTTTTATGTACTTGACACTGAGATAGTGGGTTGTACTATAATCATTTCAGCCAGTTCTGCTAATCATTCATCTTGAATTCTGCTAATCGTTCATCTTGAATTATGTATTTGTTTATTTAACTCAATATGGTGCATGCATCTTGGTCCACTGTCACAATAAATGCAGAATTTACTGTGGCAAAAGCATAGACTGAGGAAAAGCGGTCTCAAGAAATTGGTCTGGCTTTGTAGCCAGAGCATCAACTAAAGATAGCACAATCTTAATCACCATCCATGAACTCTGTCTGGCACTGACCACAGTGTCCTTTGAACTCACGGAGGATTAGAGTCCTTCTAGAGTAAATTTTGTCTGTTGCTAAACAAGTGCAGGGTGATTTGCAGTTTATTTTTCTTGGGGGAAATAATGAACATATTACATCATAATGTGTGTGTGTGTGTGTGTGTGTGTGTGTGTGTGTGTGTTGGGGGGGAATCAAGTGTTTTCTTTACGTCTATGATGGTAACTTACATCAGACAAACTCTCCCATGGAGAACAACCATAAAGTTAGGGAGAACAACATGATTTAAAGGCAGCCAGCAACTAAGGAACTCAGATACCAGAGAGAAAGAAAACAAATTGAGGTGACTCCTCAATTCAGCACTGCGTATTCCTTTCAGAGTTTAACTGATTCAACTCACAGGGCATAGAGACCACATGGAAATCAGTGACCTGGAATTTTTGATGGACTTATGGGACTCTGGAGACAAAAGTTAGATTTCAGGGTTACCGAGGTATCTAGAAATTGAGAGGCCAAGGTCACAGAGCAAAGATAATTAGAGAAGAATGGGTGTTTTTTCACCCTTGATGAATTGGCCACATCTTAACATGTGCAAGAATAAGAGGATTTAAACGTTTCAAAGAGCTAGTACTAAGAAGCTGAAAAGCTAAACAAATATTTTAGCAGTGTAAAAGAAATAATGGACCCTAGAAGTAACAGAAACTCAGAAATTAAATTAATCCCCATAATTCTGAAATCCGGTCTTAGTGGTATCAAATTGATCTATCTAAACATATCTTCCTGGGAGAAGAAAACCAAATTTGTCTAAAGGGAGATAACACCTTTTATATGAAATTTTCAAAATCCAATTAAAAAATTCTGAAATGCTGCCAAAGAGGAGTGGGCCTGCAACAGTCAGAAAAAAGACAATAGAAAAACATCCAAATGATGCATATATTCAAATTTTCCAACTAAGAATATATATAGTTAACATGTCCAAGAAAATAGATAACAAGTGAGATGGATACTTTGCCCAAAGACATGGAGCCTATAAAAATAATCAAAGAAAAGGTCTGAAGCTGAAAAATCCGGTGTGTTAAAGTAACAATATAATCAACTGAAACAGAAGATTTGCAAACCAGATTTAGAATAGAAAAAAAAAAAAAGAAAGAAAAGAGACAAAAAGAAACAGGAAGAATCACAGAAAGAAAACAATAGTAAAAATACAAATATGAGCATAAGATGTAGATTATATGTAAAGCGAAAGTATATTATATTTGAAACTGACACTCCAGAGAGGAGGAAGGCCAGAGAAGATGCAATATTTGAAGAAATAATGGTCACAAATTTTCAAATCTGATAGAAGACATCAAGATATAGATTCAAGTGGATCAGTAAACTCTTAAACAGGGTAAATACAAATAAAAGCATACCAGGACACATCATAGTAACATTGCTAAAAATAAAGACAATGAGAATTTAAAATTAACCCAAAAAATTAAGGTCTCAAAAGCAGACAGCTTATTTGATAATATAAATTATGGAAGGCAGAGACAAAGAATGTCATTTTAAAGGACAGAAGGAAAATAATTGCCAAGCCAAAATATTATATCAAGAGAAAAGAGCCTTCAAATTAAGTTGTTTTCTTTCAGAAAAAAAAAAACTTGATAAAATGCATTAGCAGCAGTTTTTCACTGAAAACATTTTTAGAAATATATTTTTCTAAAAAAAAAAAATGAAAACCAGCCTAAATGGCAATATGATAATATAGAAAAGAAAGAAGATAAACAAAAATATTAATATGTGGAAAAATACAAAATAATATATACTACTTAATATAATTAGAATGTGTTACATGTATAAAGTTGAGGTAGAATTAAAATACATAACAAAAATGATGGAAATGGGAAGGGTGTAATATAAATTATCATAAACAATGCATTGCAAATATTCTTTCATTATAGATATAATGTTTGATACATTATTTAAGATATACTTTAATGAATCAAGGATATGTATATGAATTATATATTTAGTGTTGTCACTAAAATAATATTAAAGACTATATAAGTAATATAATAATGGGGAAATGGAATAATTAAAACTAATTAGTTAAAAAACATAGAAAAGGGGAAAACTAAGAAATAACTGATTTTAAAAAACATTTAAAAAGTACAAAAAGAAATCCAAACCCATATAGTTACATACTTTAATATTAGATAAACATTTTCAGATTAGATTTAAAAAGGAAGCAAGACACAGATCATGTCTCTTATCACAGATAAAGCTGTAATATAAGGATAAATAGAGACTGAGATGATTGAAACAAGATCTGACTACAAATTGAAACTGAAGGAAAGTTGTTCAGGTGTAAACTAAGGAGAAAGAAATGTTTCCCCAAATATGGAGAAAAATGTTATAATGATAAATAACTAAATTCAGCAAGATGTAAAAATCCTAAATTCATATATACCTTATAATGTATTTGCCAAGTATATAAAGTAAAACTTTGGCAGAATCTAAGTGAGCAACAGATAAACCAACAATTAGAACAAGTAGACCGAAAAACCGAAGATAGAGAACATTTGAATATCGTGATTAATAAGCTTATTTCATTGAAAGGTATAAAATACTGCACGAAAGAGTTACAGAAAAATCATTCTTGTCAAACAAACTTGAAATATTGACCCCAAATGGCCAAAAACTGTGTCATAAAACAACTCTCAACACATGCAGTATATACCTTCTGAGCAGTAGCATTAAGTTATAAAAATGAGTAACAACAACAAAAACTTAAATTATTCTTAAGTATTGAAAATTAAACCACACACTTCTAAATAACCCATGAAAAACAGAGGAAAAAACCCATGAAAAACAAAGAAATTAACACATTTAAAAAATGAATGATAGCAAAACAATGACATGGCAAATCATGTGGAATAGAGTTAACAGAGTGCCTACAGGGAAATTGACCTTAAGTGTCTACATTAGAAAAGAAGAAGTGCTGAAAATCAATTATCTAAGCATCCACTTCAAAGGGGCTGAAAATGAGAAGAAAATTAAAATTAAAAAGTAGCAGAAAGGTGAAAATAAGTATAGGATAGAAAATAATGAAATTGAGAATAAATGTATGATAGTGAAATTCAACAAAACTAACGGCTGTTCAAAAAATGAATAAAATTGATAAAACCTTGCAAGGGAAAATAAGAAGGCAAGTCATCAATATCAGAAATGAAGAAGGAAGCATTGCTACAACTTCTATAGAGATTCAAAAAGATAATGGAAGGATATGAGGGCGATCAGGCTGTGACGCCTGTCACCCCACTGATTGCCAGGGTTGATTTGGCTGATCTGGCTGGCTAAGCGGGTGTCCCCTTCCTCCCTCACCACTCCACGGGCATCCCTCCCGAAGCTGCACGCCTCGTGGAAGAAAATGACCATCCCCGAGGAGGACCGGTCTTTGGTCAAGGATATAGGAGTAGCTGTGCTCCCGTGATAGATTCTTCAGACACGGTCTCAAGCTTCATTTGTAGGAGAACGTAGGGTAGTCGAGCTTCCAAGACCTCAGACACATCCAAATGAGGTGTGACGTGTGGCAGTCTGCTTTTAAAAAGGAAAAAAAGAAAAAAGATAAAGGAAATATTTATTCCAATTTTAAAAGTTATTGGCAAAAATATAAATACATTTAGCATAAACACAGCATGAACTGAACATATTTATGTCAAAAACTTTTAAAATGTATTGTGATAGAGGCGAGTTTAAAAACGCAGGCTTTGCAAAATGGCATAAATAAGAAAAAATAGAAAAATATGTCTATTACTTCTCTATTGAATAATTGAATACATAATTACCAACTCTGACACATAAGTTCTCATGCTCAAATGAACTCACCGATATAAATTTCAACAGAGAAAAGTAAAAGAGGGAGCATTTCCCACTTAATGTCCCAAAGTCAGTGTAATCTTAATGCTAAAACCTGATGAGAATTTTACAAGATAGGAGAATTAACAGCCTGCTTCTGATATACAAATCTTAGGTAACATATTAGCAAAACAAACTCACTAATATACCAAAACATTACACTCAGGGAATACAAGGACAGATTATAACATTTAAAAATGTTTTTATTCAAATTAAAATATTGAGAGAAGATAGAGAAAAAGATGATCTATCTTTATAGATGCAGAAAAAGTTAAGTATGCATTTCTTTTTCATAATAAAATTTCTTTGCACACTAGAAATAGAAGGGGACTTAATTTGATAAAACATAGCTACAAAGAAACATATAGTAAATATCAGATCTAGTGGTGAAATGCTGAAACCTTTCTCACTTAGATTCCAAATGAGATGAAGTTGTCTACCATTGCTAGTTTTATTCAATTATACTGAAGGTTTTAGTCAATACAATAAGGTTCGAGGAAGAAATAAAAGCATAAATATCGGAAAGAGAGAAATATGATTGTCATTACTCACAATCAACATGATTGAGTACAAAAATACAAAAATAATCTATAAACTATTATAAATAGTAAGTCAAGTTTGCATGGTTGTCAGAGTTACAAAAATTACTGCATTTTGTTTTCTACCAATACTCAGAAAATTAAACAAAATACTACCTATAATATTGAGCAGACTTCAATTACATAGCAAAACAATCTGATGCAAGGCCTCTAAACAGAATACTACAAAACATTACTGAGAAAAATTAAAGATACAAATGAAGATACAGATTAAACACACAAAAGATAAAAATTAAAGATACAAAGTTTGCAATTTGAAAGATTCAAATGTAAAATGTCAATTCTCTAAATTTATCTGTAGAATCTAAGCAGTATCAATACATTCCAAAATTTCTGTGTGTGTGTGAGTGTGCATGTGCACGTGTGTGTATAATTTGGCAAATGATGCTATAATGTGCATAGAAATTTAAAGGGCAAAAATAATAAAATATTTACCAAGAACCAAAATTGTTTGTCTTATAATATCATTATATGAAGGTTTATTATAAGATAGAGTTCTTAAAGGATTGTAGGACTAAAAAGATAGAAAAATAGACCAATGGAATAGAAGACTTCAGAAATAGGCCTGCAGAGAAAATGCTCAACTGAATTATAACAAAGATGCCACAGGGGGAAATAGCAATAATGTGGACCATAAACTGGATACCTGCAAGTGGAAAAAAACTGAACTGTGACTTGTGCTTCCAACCGTCAATATAAATAATGTTCACATAGGTCAAAGATATAAAGGTAAAAACTAAAATAATAGACCTTCCAAAAGTTAACATGGGATTTTCAAATTCTGGAATAGGAAAATAATGAATGAAAAAAGCACTAAAATTAACAAAAGCACATATTGATGAATTCAATTGATTGAATTAAGAATTTATGCTCATCAAATGATACTACTAAGAGAAAGAAAAATTAAGCCATTGGGCAGAAGAAGGAATTGTGGTACATATATCTACTAAAGGACTCACATTATTAATATAGTGTAGGCATATCAATTAGGAAAATATAGGCAACTTAATTAACAAAGGAAAATTTGAACAGGTATTTCACAAAGAAGATGTCCAAGTGGCCAGTAAACATAAGAAAAGGCCCTAAGTATCAAATATTCAGGACATTGCAAATTGAGATATACCTAAAATACAACTTCAACACTCCTACAATTTCTAAAATTAAAACAGAATAATAGATAACTGATTTTACCAAGTATTGATGCAAATATGCAGCAGCTTGATCTTTAGTACAGTGCTGGTCAGAGGGTAAGTTGGTATATCCACATTAGAAAAATATTTGGAAAAAAATGCGAAAGCTGAATGTATGCATGACCTGTAATATTTCACAGGATATTGAAATATGTAATATACAGAAATTAATATATTTTTGCATCAGAAGACATATAGAAAATATTTATAATAGTGAAATTCAAAATAGCATAATACTGAAAGAACCCAAATGCCCACCAATAAGAGAACAGATAAATAATTGTGGTATATTCATACAATGGAATTCTTTCCAAACAATGGAAAAGCCTGATGTACTGCTGCAACTATATGAATGAAAAAATATTACATTGAACTAAAGCATCTACATGCAAATATGTATACACTGTATGAATTCAATCTTTATGAATTCCTGAAGAAGATAAACTAACATACTGTTAAACCAAGTAGAGGTTATCTTGAGGGAGATAATGACTTGGAAGGGGGTAAATGAAAGGCTTCTGGGGTATTGGCTACTTTGGATATCTTGATGTAAGTGATAGTTACATGGGTGCGTTCATTCTGGGAAAATCCACTATAATAAATTCTTAACATTTATATGCTTTTCATTCTCATGGCTTACTTTAAATGCAAAAATTGACTCCACATAAAAAAAATAAGGAAGTCACCATCATATATTCAAAAATATATGACTATTAAAATTTCTGAACATGAATTCACTGAAAAAAAATTCCATGTTAATGAAATCACCAAACCTTTCTTTTGACATTATTAGTTTATTATACTTGTGCATTGGCTGCAGAGTGATCAGCATTAAAAATACTATATTGGCCGGGCGCAGTGGCTCACCCCTTAATCCCAGCACTTTGGGAGGCCAAGGCGGGCAGACCACGAGGTCAGGAGATCGAGACCATCCTGGCCAACATGATGAAACCCCATCTCTACTAAAATTCAAAAAATTAGCCGGGCGTGGTGGCATGCGCCTGTAGTCCCAGCTACTCAGGAGGCTGAGGCGGGAGAATCACTTGAACCCGGGAGGTGGAGGTTGCAGTGAGCCGAGATTGTGCCACTGCATTCCAGCCTGGTGACAGAGCAAGACTTTGTCTCAAAAAAAAAAATACATATATATATATATATATATATATATATGGAATATGTTGTACAAATGCTATATTAAAGAGAACCTGTGTGAAGTAATTAATTTTGTTTGTTTTGCTACTTGTTGGTCAGGCCACCCTAGGTTTCTTGGTTTGTTTTTTTGTTTGTTTGTTTTTCTTTTCTTTTCTTTTCTTTTCTTTTTTTTTTTGAGGCAGAGTCTCGCTCTGTTGCCCAGGCTAGAGTGTAGTGGCATGATTTCGTTTGGACTCAGTAGATATTCAACAATACATACTTCTTCAACATATTAGGTTGGTGCAATAATAATTTCAGTTTTTCCATTGAAAGTAATGGCAAAAGCTGCAATTCCTTTTGCACCAACCTAATGCTATGTTATATATTACATATAGATTGATTTCAACCCATATATACCCTGAAATCTCTTCCCCATTTGAAAAAAAAATCTTCATTTTGATCTGACAAACTTCAAAGAGAGAGTGAGGTATAACAGATCACTCAATAGATGCTGGGTAGTTTACAATATTAGCTTTCGTATCTAGTAAATTGTGTGTGTTGCTTGTGTTTGCATGGGCATGTACTGGGGTCACTATGTTGTAAAGTAGTATTAAATGAATGTTTAATCTGAACATTAGATATGTCGACACATTAATTCCTCTGAAACTGAGTATCCCTAAGGTTCTAAAATATAAGAGATTAAATAGAAACACTTAGCAAAGTAAACTCAAGAAATTCACTTCCAATAATCTCGAGTCAATCCTATTTGAAACAATTAGGGGGAAATACCACTAAGGATTTAGTAATTGACATATAATGCAACTCAGTTGGCAGAGTAGAATTAGAGATTTTTGCAAAGAAGACTTAGTTTACTAAAAGGGACATGAGAAGCAATAAACTCACTATCCAATTTTATTTCTTTACCTGTTGCACCATGGAAAAAATAAGAGATATGTAAACAGGATAGAAATATGTACTTAAGGGTATAAAAGGAAGGAGTCAATATTTTAGAGTTACAAATTGAACCAAAGTAATACATAATAGGATGAAGACACAGATCAAAACTAAAACAAAAGAAACAAAAGCCATATATGTGCACACACACATACACACGCATCAAAAGTGAAACAAAAAAGATGACATTTGTATGCACGGTATAGACAACAGAGGACAACAAATTTGTAAGCATACTTAAATAATTAAAAGTAGGACGCATTATAAAACACAAATTAAGAGAAAAATAGAAAACATAATAGTTCCATGCTCATTCACACTATTGATTTTTATAAACTGTCTCTCATGTTATCTTTATTTGGAGTGTGATTACTAAAATTTTACATTTATGAAATATAAAGAAAGGATCTAAGATTAAAAGGCTATGAAGGATAAAGTCAGGTCTCTCTCCAGTAGCTCTAAATCTTTTCCCCATCGGATTAAAATTTTACAACCGTAAATGTGCCTACCCTGGTTTTCAAGATGTCAATTCTTGTGAGGAGGAGAAAGGATTCTGAGGGTTCATTGTAGATACGTAGGAAAAGGTGGAGTGAAGAACTTGCCAAGTGGTTATACAGAACTCCACTATTTCCAGGTTCACTGAAGACGAATGTAATAAACAAGAGACCTGCACATTTTCTCCCCATTTAGAGAGCATTTGAAAATGGAGTAGCAAGATAGCATGCTTTTTGGCAGTCAGGGAAAACACACAGGGGTCAGTGAGGGCTTGAATCAAAGTCACTGTTTAAGAGTCACTTTCTCCAGGGAGTTTAAGGCATTTTCAAAAATGTCTAAGTCCACAGCTTTCTCAGTGAGAGAAAGAATTTCTTCCCCTCTCTTGAGAGAGCCACTTCTTGGTTAATAGAAAGGCTATAACTTATAAGCTTTGTTCATTAGACACTAAAGCCCCAATTTGATTAAAGTTCTAATTTAATTATAAACTACTCTAGATATGACTGGGATTTCAAGGAGTGAAATAAAGTGACTACTCTTTATACTCTGGCTTGCTGGAAATTTCACAATCTTATCCTCAAAAATTATTGAAATTCTGGTGGTCAACTCCTCCTTCTGTGTACAACACAACGCAGACATTTTTTGATAAGTATTTGATGGTGTCAAAAGTCTGCATTTGAACCACAGCAAGAATACAGTTGCCATAACAGAGAAAGGGGAATGCATAAAAACAATACTGTAAAGATAAAAACTATCAAAAATATCCCCAGAAGCATGGCTACCCTCTTGGTGTCCGTTGGTTAATTACATTCTAACTTGTTCCTCAGCTATCTAATAATCTATGGATTTGATAAATCATCACTAATGATTTAGAAATTAATATGCCATTTATGGGCAAAATGTGTCTCAAAAAGTTTCGTCTTTAGTCATTGAGAGCTTAACCCCACTATTGACATTATTTCCAATATCTTCTTTCAAATTCCCATCAATTTTATTTTAAGCTTACTAAGTTGCTGTATTTCCATGATATATTCAATTCACATCTTCTTATTTTTATAAAATTCCACTGCTCCTCTTATTACCTATTCAATTATAAATTCTCTTATTCTGCATTCCCCAATTGACTATAATTTAGTGCTCATAGCTTCTACCCTTCTACTTGTAGAAAGCTCAAGAATTATTTATTGTGCCCCACTAGTAAACCTAAATTTGTCAAATCATTTTTCTCTCTTATAGCTTGAAAAGGCAAGTCTGTTTATTTCAATCGATGCCTGCAAAAACAGCAGCTCATGGAAACCAGTTAAAAGCAAATTCCCAAGTAACTTAGACTTGGCAGTATTCCATTACCTTTCATTATAAAAGGGCAAAATTAATGGGCAATTCATGAGGGTATGTGACAGAGAGGTGATAGGAAGTCACTACTACTCAAATGGTAGAAGTCAAGAACTTGTTTATACCAGATGCTATTTCAGCCTTTTCTTCTATCATATGTGAAAACCGCCTGACTTTTGTGACCAATTGATATGGGCTTTTCCTTCCAGACCACTTTGTCACATCTCTTGTGTTTAGCAAATTAATCTTTAATGAATGTTAATCAAGTTTCTAATTATAATATCTTTATATTTAGTGTTTGTATATCAGATGAAAGGCAAACATTTTGGGGCCAGTCACAAAGGACATAAATAATTTCCTTAGAAGCTTATCTGATTAGTTTTATTGCTCTATAATATCTTTAAAATTTGAACTGCTATCATTTCATTAATTTAGATACAAGTGAATCTTCAGTATTTAAATATGACACTTATGTTGGAAATTATAAGTTGTAATTTCAGTCATGTCTGTTCATATAATATCGATAAAGATAAGATATTTTGGTGGTGTTTGGGGACATGGAACTATAGGTTTTATTTGTTTTATTGTTTTTTCTGTGTTTTAGCAGTTTCAAGAAATACCCAGTAGATTTCTGAGGCATTCATATACCTGGGATAAACATTCATCTACTTAGGGCTAAACAAAATGAAACATAATTTCTCTTTCAGTCTGCTTTTTGCTAATTTTTAAAAAAGAAATCTGATCCAGAAATAGTTCAACGGCTTGCCAGTGATCACATGATATATATCTGGCTCATTGCCATATAAAACAATACTTGTCCTCACATGGCCCCCAATTTCTCTCCTAATATCACCATTGGCCTTATCTCAGGATAGTCCCACCATTAGAACTCCTGATTATTTGGTGATGGCATGGTCTCTGGGCCTTTTTACATGCCATTTACTCTATCTGAAACAATTGTCCACCTTTCTTTCTTTCCTTCCTTCTTTCCTTCCTTCCTTCCTTCCTTCCTTCCTTCCTTCCTTCCTTCCTTTCTTTCTTTCTTTCCTTCTTTCTTGTTTTTCATTTGTCTTTGAGATGGAGTCTTGCTCTGTCATCAGGCTGGAGTGCAGTGGCATGATCTCGGCTCACTACAACCTCTACCTCCCGGGTTCAAGCTATTCTCTTGCCTCAGCCTCCAGAATAGCTGGGACTACAGGTGCGTGCCAACATGCCCAGCTAATTTTTGTATTTTTAGTAGAGACGGGGTTTTACTATGTTGGCCAGGATGGTCTCGATCTCTTGACCTAGCGATCTCCCCGCCTTGGCCTCTCAAAGTGCTGGGATTACAGGTGTGAGCCACTGCTCCTGGCCTCCACCTTTCTATACCTAAAGTAAAGTACTTTTCCTAATTTTTAAAGGCGAAAGATAATTCCCTATTTTAAATCTTCCTGTGACTGTAGAAAAGTGTTTCTTCTTTCTGTATTCTTCCACAATACAGTGAAAATGAGTAACTTGTAGGATAAATGAATATATAGATAAACCACTATAATGTGATATTTCTTAAAATACTATGGATTACTTGGTTGTAGGAGATTCATCTTAACTGGACATATATATATATAACTATGTATTGAATAACTGAATAGAAGAATAATAAGGTAATGAATGAATGACAAAAGGCATTTATCGAAATTCTCAGGAGAGAGTTATGGGGTACTTAACCTTCTTGAGCTGATATTTATGATATTTTGAAGAATGAATTCAAATAATTATGCACAACCACATTAATGTCGCATATCTCTGTTTTCTAGGACAAAAGGGTATTTGTGATAGTATTATTTTAGTTAGTCATGAATGTCCTAGCTTTTGGGAAGAGATAATTTAGTGGACTGAATAGTGGCCTTCAAAAAAGATATGTCCAGTTCGAAACCCCAGAAACCTGCCAAGATCACATTTGGAAAACGGTCTATGTAGATGTAATTAAGTAAGGATCTTGGGATGGGATTATTCTAGATCACCTAGGTAGGCCTTAAATCCAATGACAAGTGTCCTTATTAGAAATAGAAGAGAAGATACAAGAAGAAGACGAGAAAGCCATGTGAAGATGGAGGCAGAAACTGGATTTATGTCATCACAAACCACGAAATATTGGAGATACTAGAAGCTGAAATGGACAAAGAAAGATACTTCACTGGAGGCTTCTCAGGGCATGTGGCACCACTGAGACCTTGATTTTGGACTTCTGACTTCCAAGTGTGAGAGTGTAAAGGAATACATTTCTATGTCTTTAAGGCATGAAGCTTGTGGTAATTTGTCATGGCAGCCCTAGGAAACTAGTATAAACAAGTTTACGAAAAAGAAAAGAAAAAGTCATAATTTTTTTGAAATATGTTTTTAACTTAATTGAAGAGACAAGAAAATCTCACATTTACTGGATAGATAGAATATTTACTACACAGCTTAATAACTCTAAACAACTCTTGTGAAGTTAAAAAAAATGAGAGACAGAGAGAGAGAGAGAAGGAAGGAAGGCAGATGATAATTGCTGCTGATTCTAACAAAAGCCTTCTGGAAAAGGTGGGGCTTGTAAGGGACTTTGAAAGAAGGATGGTCTAAGAAAACTGGAAGGACTTGCCTCTCACAAAGTAGGCACAGGCATGGCCAGTATGGACAGAAGTGCCACGAAAATACAAACTCTGGAAAATGGCCCTAGAAAGGGAGTAGGAGGTGAACATAAAAGGCAAAAGCAGATCTATCACTGGAGCTAGAGACCCATGCTCATTGTAGCATCCTTGCAAATACTGAAGGAAATCATTTTCCCCCCAGCAAGGTTGATAAGTCAACGTCAACAAGGTCCCAATATGTTCTCTAAATGGAATGCTTCCTAGTTCACCTACCTCAACTCCAACTGCGAATGTTCAAAGTCCATCCTCTTTAAACCCTCCAACCTAGTTAAGCTCTCTCTGTGATGTGCTGCACTAAAACTGTCTGCTTTTCTTCATATCTCTCAGTCTAGTGTATAATTCAACACTGTTTGATTATTCTCTGCTACTGTACTATAAGTTCTGAGAGAACAGAGTCTTTATCTCTGTTTGCTTTTTCTTATATTGAAGGCACATAGAAGAGTACTTATACATCACTACACATATTCAATAATCAAAATGAGGGCAGAGAGTAGATAAAGCTATCAAGAAAATGAATGAATTAATAAAAATAATATATTATTTAAGATTATGGGTTAGATTACATTAATTAGTTTGAATGTTTTGAGGTATTCATTGATCATTTACTGGATCACTGTGGTCGTAGATAACTATGGAGGAGATATAGAGGGCTCAAGAATCAACGAGTTACAATTTAAACCACATAATTTTGAAAAGAATGTTTTAGGGCAGTACAAACTCAAAAGTTGTTTTATGATAAATTTTATACTGGACAAAAAAATTAACAGCTGGAGAAATTTATCTGAAAGTGACAGGAAGGGTGGGAAGGGCACTGGCAAAAGCAAGACCAAGGAACATATTAATAGGCTGTAATAATATATCAAGGAACGATTTTATGATTATATGACTTTAGATATATGAATGTGATATGTTTTCTCTATTCTGTCAGTGTCTTTTTACTTTATTTGATAGTTTCCTTTAAAACACAAATATTTTTAATTTTGATGAAGCACAATATATTTTTTTATTTTCTTATTATTTTATTTTAGTGTCAAATCTCAAATAACATGTAAGATGTCAAATCCTACAGCATAAAGATTTTTTTTTGCAAAAAGTCACTGTTTACTTCCTGTTTATCAAATCAGTTATATTCCTTACAGAAAATTTGGAGACTAGGGAAATGTATTTGTATACAAACATACACCCAAAAGTATGTAATTATTTGTAACAAATATTTGTAAGTTTTTAGTGGTTCTTCCAGGGCTTAGCATATACATTTTACTTGGCAGAATAAGCTTCAGATGTATATCATCTTAATTCAAGTGAGATATAAAAATGCTACTCCTATATAGTTCTATTGCCTTCCCCTCCTATTTTGTGATATCACTGATGTACATCTTATACATATACATTATAAACCCTAAAATTGTATTGCTATAATTATTACTTTATATAATATTGTGTTTTTAAAAGAATCTTAGAGGAGTGAAAGTATATATTCATAGCTTTTGTTATAGTAATCTTTTTATTCATCATTTCTGTTCTTTTCATTTGTTCCTGTCGATTTGAATTACAACCTAAATTCATTTTCTTAGCCCAGTACACTTTCATACCCACTCACCTCCTTTTTGCTATGATTGGCAAACATATTACATTTTGATATGTTACAAGCTCAGCAATACTATTATATACGATAATATAAATAGATACATAGAGTTTTATGCAATTATGGTTAAAATAAGAAACGAGGAGTAATGTGGATTTATACAGTCTTTTATAAGGGCATAATTACCTTTACCGTTTTCCTTTCTCTTTATTTTTTTCGTTTGGATTAGAATTATTGTCTAGGATCCTTTGTTTTCAACGGAAGAATTTATCATTTATTGTGAGTGTAGCAGGGATTCTACTAGGAACAAATTTTCTAAGATTTTGCTTATCTGGTGATGACTCTATTTTACCTTCATTTATGAAAGATACTTGTGATGGATATAGGATTCCTGGCTGACAGTTATGTTTCATTGAACACTTTGAATAAGTTATCCTACTGTTTTCTCACTTCCTTTATTTCAGATGAGAAGTTAGCTGCTATTTTTATTGGGGTTCCCTGGTGATTAGTTTTTGTTTGTTTGTTTGTTCACCTCCCGCTGGTCTCAAAATGTTCTTGTTTTTGGCTTTTAGCATTTTAGATATGATATGTCTGTGAGTCTCTTTGTGTTTATCCTACTTAGAGTTTGTTGGGGAAGTTTTAGGATATACAGGCTAGTGTTTCTCAATAAATTTGGGAAGTTTACAGGAATTATTTGTTCATTTTTTTCTCCATTCTCTGTCTCCTTTTCTTCTCTCATTACTATTATGCATATATGACACTTAATGGTGTCCCATATTTCACTGAGGCTCTGCTCATTTTTCTTTATTTTTTTTTAACTGCTGTTCTTTGATTCTCTACTGATCTTCACTTTCAGTAATTCTTTCTTCTGCCAATTTAAATCTACTTTTGAGTCTCTCTAGTGAATTTAAAATTTTGGTTATGGTAATTTCCTACTGCACAATTTCCATTTGCTTCCTTTTTAATAATTTCTGTCTTTTTATTGATATTCTCTACTTGATGTTATGTTGTTATGGCATCTTCATTTACATATTTAATTATGCCTTTTTAAATATATGTTAATGGCTACTTTGAACTCTGTTAAATCTGACATATGGTCACTCTCACATATGATTTCTTTTGCCTGATTTTTCTCTGACCTATGTTTGTTTATTGTTTGCTTATTTTCATGTCATGTAACTTTTTTTGGAAACTAGATATTTTCAATAATACAATGCAGCAATTCTAGTTACCAATCCTCCTCTGGAGTTTGGAATTATTACTCACTTGTTTGTGACTTGCTGAATTGTTTTAGTAAAACCTTTTTTCCCCATTGGTGTAAAATCTGTGATCTTACTTCTCCAGAGGTACAGTGTTGGATATTTACATAAACACCTGGAAATACAGTGGTTTTGGCAGGGCTCTCTTTGATTGTCTCTGTCCCTGACCACATCCAGCTATTAAGGTTGTTTAATTGCCAGCCAACTGCTCAACTGTATTCAAAAGCGTCCTAGGTCATAATTTGTTCCACGGTATGATCTGTTCAAATTTGGGCTCTGTTAAAGAAATGATTCCCTAGATAAATGTTTGAGATTTGTTATTTTTCCTAGAAGGCTCATTTCAGCTGACTCTATCTGCATTCTCTCTGGCAACTAGCCTCTCTCTCCAGTGAATCTACCAGATCTACCAACACTCTCTCATTTGTCTTTCATAGCAACCTTTAGTGTTTTGAGTTTACACTTAGGCTTGAAGGTCACATTCCTTTGTATATGAAGGAACTTTCTGCTTCAAGGCCTGCTTTTCTCTTTCACTCTCAAGCAAAATCTTTGAGCCATGGCTTTGAAACTCCTTTCTTTAGGAGTGAAGTGCTTTGTGGAGAGAAGGAGGCAGTGACCTCAATCTTTTTGTCTCACCTGCTGTATCCCTTAGGACTTTTTCCATAGACTAATTATTTTTAAAAAAACTTTCACCAGTTTTTCTGGAGACTGGGTTTGTAGAGTTCCTCAGGCTATCATGTAATGAGTCTTAAAAAGCAACAAGGAAAACAAACAAACAAAATTGAACGGTGTGTTAAGATGGCTTTCTGAAAGAGATGTGACTTATGCTAAATTTTGAGGGATAACTAGAGAAATTCTAACCACCTGGAAATAGCTTTTCAGTGCAGAGTAAACAGTTTAGGTTTTATTTTGCTTAACTTTTCTAAAGAAATAGATAAAATATTAAGAGGAAACATCTAGAAATATCTACAACTAAATAAGAACAAATTAATTTAGTACACTTGCGTAATTGTTAAATAAATGTAAAAAATAGTTGAATTTGTGTACCATGATATTCTTTACAGCTATAAAAAGTGGGTTCCAAATTTAGTTCCTAGTTTCTCACCGAACTATAAACTAACAAACCACAAACTAAAGAAGAAAATAATAATTATTTACAAAGAGTTCTTTGACCATTATACTAAAACATTAGTCGCTTGCAGAGGTGCCGGGACACAAGAAAGATGATAATTGAAAAAACATTATATATCATTCATGATTTTCCAACAGTGTTAAGTAATAGCTCCCTAATCCCACATTGTTCCTAAAAAGATATTAGTTGGTATTTTGCACTGGGCCCCAGGGATAGATAAATAACACTTTGTCCCATATATGACATATGAGAAAACCTACTTTAATGTTGAAAATTGCCTCCAATAAGAAGCTGATGGAGTTTGTTCATTCTTTATGCCTGAGTTTTGCCACCTGTTGGTCATCTAGGTTGAAGAGATAATTGCAATTTATTGCAACCATGAGGCCAAATTAAAAAGAAAAGAGAAAAATAAGAATGGACTTTGACAATTTTTTAACCAAAAGAGTGGGAAGAAAATGTGTATATGCATGTTTGCCTGCAGTGTGTAGATATGAGTGTGTGTGTGTGTGTGCATGCACACGTGCATGTAATATTAAAGATAAGGAAAACAAAGAATAATATCATACATAGTTGACTTGGCCTAATCAACCATTGTCAGTGTATCTGAATCTGTAAAATTAGCAATTTTTTCACTTCAGAAGGAGCAAAATAATGTTTAAGGAATATGGTAGCTTTTTCTTATACTTTCAGTTTTCTAAGACTGTGCCCCTATTATTCACTGTCTAATCTGTACATGCAGTTTATTAAGCCTGTGCTAATCACTATTTATTAATTGAATATTTAGCGAGATTAAAGTAAAAATATCTAGTAGAAGTTTCTTTAATTATTTACACACACAGGAATTGGTCTAGGATGTCGAATGAAAAGAATGAGTGTTACAGAGTTAAAAGGAATAACCGGCAATTCTTGGAATTAAAACAGAGAATTACAAAAAGAAGTTAATCAATTAACGGGACTCCAGTTGGGTGAAATAGGACCATAAGCAAAATTCTGGAAGTTAAACTGCACAGTTTCATAGGGAGAGTTGCAGATTACGAGTGCAATTCTGAAACTCTTCATGATGGTACAACCCCTTAGACATTCGGTATTTGATATTTGGGCCAAAACTTCAAATATTTATCAAATTTCAGGTAAGTATTTGTAACAAATTTATAAACATTCTTGAGGAGATAGTAGTAATTAGTAACCTTCATACACACATACACACACACAGAGGCACAAATACACATGTATATGTATTTTTTTGGACTTCATCAGTATTATACTATGAAAATGGCTTATGTCTGGAAGAGCAAAATCACATTTTGAAGTTGATGCTTAACTTAGTAATCTTGGTACAATTATATAATATTTTAAGTGTCAGGTTTACATCTTACATATGGGGATCCCATTAGCTACTTCATAGATTTTTTGTGCAGATTGAATGAAATATGATTACGTGAAATATTTTGCATCATGAATAGTAAACATTCAATATACCTGATGCTGTTCATGTGGAAAATTGCAAAAGGCAAAGGCTATAATACCTTTGAATGTGTGTCCAATACTGTATAAGACACTTTTAATTTTTCTCACATGACATTTATAACAATTCTATAACAAAAGTGTTAAATTTCTGAGTTTCAGTTTTTTTAGGAAAAAAATTGAGTTTAAATTAATTGCTCAGAGTCACACAAGTAGTAGAAGGAAAAGCTGGGTCTCCAAAGGTGCATGTTTAGCACAAAATGCTATGCTCCTTTTTACTTTCCAAGAACTGCTATTTAGCTAATGGTCAGGCTGGAAAACGGAAGTAAATATTTAAAAATATAACCACACCTTACTCAAATTATAAACTTCCTAGAGTTTTGTTGAATAGATAAAGGATAAAATATGAGTGCCTTGTGTTAGAGTCATAAGTTAAATGTCTATTTAGATTCTTCCTTCTATCAAAACTAGGAAAGAGCATGTTTCCTCCCTGAATGAAGAATAAACAAGTTCATTAGATATATATTTAAAAAGGGTATATGAGGTGAGACATTTCAGGCCATCACCTTGATTTTTGGGAAGTGAAGTCAAGTTCCATTAATCCCTCAGGATAGTATTCAGCCACTTGTAGTTAACCAAATTAGAATATTGGAGAGTAGTCATGGCACTCAACTAAATTCAAATCTTGTAGCAGAGCCAGCAGGGCAAACCAACTGTAAATCTGTAGCATAAATATAGCTATTTGGTGTATACTTTAGGAGTACTTTTATCTTTAACCAAAAAAAAAAAATGAGTATTTTAGAGCTCCAAATGTAATCAATTGTCAAAAAGAGGAGTTTGATATATCAAATGAAAATCTGTTTGTTCATATTCAAAGCCAAACATTTTTTCCCCTCTTGGCTTGCTTATAAATATTCAGTGCCACAGAAATGCAAATAAATAATTGGCTATCTCCAATGCATTCTGTATAATTTATAACAGATCAAAAGATTATTACATGGTACAGTCAAAGTCAAACTATATTCCATTTATTGCAAGTGAAAACCATAACATGTCCCAAGTCAGGAATGTATTAATGGACTAGATCTCCTTCTGTGTGTATGTGTGCATACATAACTTAAAAAAATAAGGATTCAGGGATTGAGGATTATGTATTGAGTTCTCTGCTATTGGAATTGACCTGGAAAGATTAGAAGATTATTATTCGTTTGCATTGATAAAAGTCCTCATGAAAATGACAATATTAAAATCACTTGGGATCATCTTATTCAAAAATATTCCAGGGTCAATTTTAATGAAAAATGTGATTCATAAAATATATGATATTTCATCTTTAATCTTACCTCTTTTATCATTGTTAAGGACCACTTCTCAACAAGTGATTTAGTTCTGGCCTTTTGCTAGGTTTTAAGTGTTCATCTCTATTATACAGCCAGTCAAGCAAGTAAGAGCTTAAAATGGGTTGTGTTCTACTCAAGAAAAAAAGAGATACATTTTTGTTGTATACAACATTTTTCTTTTAAAGAATTGATCCCTTATCTATAAAATAAAGCTTGCTTTATCAAAGAAACCTCTTTTAATTTATTCAGAAATGGTCTTTATCAAGCTAAACTCAGCAAATGGTGTTTGAAATAACAATTTATGCTTTTTTTTAAAGCAGTCAAGCACTTGCTATTTTTCTTATTTGGTCAGACTCTATAATCACCATGTTGAAAACATCCTAATTAAGGGAAGTTGGAAACAGACACACATGCTTTCAAGAGAAAGTTGAGTTGCACGTTAAAATGAAATACCCTCAATGCTGATGTTATTTTTTCCTTCCCATAGGGAACCACAGTCAGATATCACGAGTACCTGTTGCTATTAAAGTGCTGGATGTCAATGACAACGCCCCTGAATTCGCATCCGAATATGAGGCATTTTTATGTGAAAATGGAAAACCCGGCCAAGTAAATATCTCCATGTTGTTAATGCTGAATATGTTTGTATACAACTGTCTCATATTTGACTAACCTGCATTATATTGTGCATTTGCATCATTTATGATCTGCAAAGTCTCAGGCAAGAAACACATCCAAATGGGAACAGAGAGGGAATTTTTTTTCTCCATCAGATGTTATTTCTCTTCCTACTTATGACCAAATTGGCTCCTAAAGTGGAACAACCTGCTGTGCCACAAACCCAGAGCCAAATCACTGTCTTAAAATATCTTGGGATATGGATGATAGCAGGAGATGTCTTAGAGTGACGGGGGCTGAATTTTTACTTTCAAATGACAAGAAGCAAGGTAAAACCTCGTGGAGAGGAGACATTTGTTTCACAGCAAACATATGAATACCAAATAATAGTGAAACCCAAGAAGGCCAGTGGTTTATAGAAAGTTGTAGGAAGTGAATATTGAAATCTGTAAATATGTAAATATATTTAGATAAACATAAGATGAACAACACGTTTTACATGTGTGTATTAGTAGAACATTTTTTGTGCCTCATATTGCATAGATGGGTCAATGAAAACAGAAAAAAAAGAAACATAAAGAAAGTGAGAGAGAGGGAGAAGGAAAGGGAGAGGGAGAGGGAATGGGAATGGGAGTGGGAGGAAGGGAGGGAGGGAGAGAGAAAAAGAGGGAGGAAGAAAGGGAGGAAAATAGTTAAACAAGCAAGATGAACAGAAACAAATATCTGCTATACTCTGAATGTCAAAATGGAAATAGCCTGTGTAAAGTTCTGCAAAACCATAAATGTAATAGATTTATTTTAACAAGGTACCAAAGTACTGTATGTTTAAGAAATTTATCATTTTTCAACTTCCTAATTTATTTCTGGATGGTGACATTTTAATTTAAATAAACAGCAGCTGACAGTATGACACTGGAGTTGTTAATCCAACTATTCTTGTGCCTCATGTGGGTGTTAGGAATTAAACTTACTATTTGCTAAGCAGCTTACCTGACAAGAGTCAGATTTTTTCCCCCTAAAGAAAGGACTGGCACTGTAGCTGTATGCTTTATTATAAATGATCAATTTGTTACCCTCCTATAAAACAGTGGGCATTTCTCCGTAGACTACTCTCATGTATCTGGAGAATTAGCATTGTTTCCATCTACCAGAATAAGACACACCACACCACACACACACACACGCACACACACACACACGTTAAAGCTAAAATTCTAATAATAAAACTGATTAACTTTTAAACATCTAGCCATGTTCTCATCAAAGCATTCAGCTTTAGTAGAGATATAGGTTTATTTTTATAATATTCTAACATTAGCTTAAATGTTTCCTAATTTTATCATGTGGAATTACCCCCTATCAATCACACGTTTTGAGCATCTTCATTTGTGATCCTTTGAGAAGGGAGTGTGTATATGTTTATATATACACATATCAATACATATCATTTACCTAAATTGGTAGATTGAGTTGTCAGAGAGAGTTTGATCAAAATATGGCAGGTTGTTTCAAAGATATGGTTGTTGTGTGGACCAGATCATTGCTGAGATAATGTAGCCAAATCACAGACTGGTAAGCTAGACTTTTTCAATCACATAGAGTCTGTAAAATACTTCAGAATTTAAATAAAACTCCATTGCTCATGCAAAACTCATCAGATAAGTTCAAGGAGTCAATGACATTGATATTTCAAAAACTCAACATTGGCTTCACTTGCGTTATTGACAAGCATGTTTCTTGGATCTCTGGGAATTTGTAGGTTTGCCCTGTGGATTTTGACTGTTTTCAAAGTTCTAATGATTTCTCAGTCGTTCTTCTTAACTTCAGAAAAAAAAATGCATTGTTTTCTCATCTTTCCTATGCAAAACCAAAATAAAAAATTGATTCTTTGTTTTATGATTTTTGCAAATCACAATGAATGACTCTTTCTCTGAAGAAATGGTTATGTTGTGTGTATGTGTGCTACACCATTTTATCCTCTAATGATCTGTTTAGACATATTTATTAGAGTTCATTAGTTACATGAAAGGATCATATCTTTGATGACTTAACAACATTTTTGGACATATGGCTGACTGATGTACATGCTGTTGTTGAAACAACTTTCTTGAACTCTTTGAATCCTTTATGTTAGTCAGAATTCAGGTTTTATTCCTTACATCACTTCTAGGTCACTTTTAATGCTCAATGATCTAATTTTTATATTTAACATTTACCAAAATTTGGATTTGTTATTCACACAAGTGTTTACTTATAGAAGTTCAACAAAGATATACTTTCAATCGTCTCTCATAATACCACACAAATGACTGACTCACTATGGAACTAGAATATTCCTTAGCAGATGATCACATGCTCGTGAAAAATAAATGTCAAAAAACCGAATGAGCCATTAAATTCATAGCTTTCTCAATATTTTTGAACAATTTATGTCTGCTTTACAACAGCCTCAGAAAAACTGCAGGTGACATTCAAATGTCTTGTTTGGCTGGAAGGTGTGGATTTAAGGCTAAACTCAGGGGATCAGCTTCCTGGGAGATGGTGTAGCTGGAAATTATTAGCAATAATCAAGGAAGGATAAGCCATTAAAAAAAATCCAGGCTGTATAAACTCTCTGGACCAAAAGGGCCTATGTAAAGAGGTTTTCAAAACGGCTCACAAAATGAAAACGAGTATCAACATGAGCATAGACAATTCTATTGTGCTTTATATTTTTTCCACTGAATTGAACTCATCTAAACACAGTCAGAATGAAAAACAAGAAGAAAAAGAGGGAGGTCGCTTTCTCTTGTCTAGGCAGTTATCTCCAGTTCATGATATACCTGAGCTAAAATAGGTCTAGATTCAATTTGAAAGTAGAATTGGAAATCATATCTGCTCTTTCCACCTTCTCATGATTCTGAAGTTAAAGGTGACATTCCCTTGAATTTGTATTCTCAAAAGTGTAACCATAACCTAAATAGGGAGAAATGGTTCACAGTCCATTACACAAAATCAACCTGAATCACATTTGATTAGAATCCTTTTAAATAATCTCTCTGTTACATAATTAAATATTATATATGTTATCATTGCTAATTATCTATATTTTAAAAAAAAATCTGATAGTTTCAGGTAATTTGTTTTAAGTCAAAAGACTTAAGATGGTATACATCTTTAGACTCTAATTCAGTGGTGATATAGTCTAATTCAGACATGATATAGTCATTTGCAGATTATTTGGCTCCCAGTTTAACAGGAGGGTTAAACAGGATATTCTCCACTTACTCCTCTCTAACGTCCATGGCAAAAATGGGAATGTGTGTTGAGGATTCCAAAATCAGAAAGCCAAATATATGTCTGACAGTTTGTGTGTCTGATAGGGTGGTGGGTTTCTGTCAGTCAGTAAATACTTACTGAGCACCAACTATGTTCCAGGACTGGGCTAGATACTGAAAATGTAGTAGTATACAACACCCCAATAATCAGCCTTTTTTACCTTCATGGAATTTTCTCTCTGGCAAACATTTAATTAAAATTGTAAATGATAGAATTGCAGAAAATGTTTCAAATCTTCTGGACAGGTGGGATGCTGAAGGGAGAAGGGGAAATGGAGCTATCTCAATGAAAAGACCTCTTAATATAGGACAAGTTTCACCAGAGACAGAAAACATCTATCAAGTACTGAAAAGGAGACAGCTGGGGATAAACCAGATTCTTTCTGAAGAGAATGGTAATCTGGCTGGACGAGTGGAGGAACAGGTAACAAATGTGGAGAAACCAGTATCTTCCTTCAATATACTTGACAACCCCACACTCAGAACCAAACACGAAGGAAAAATATAGAACTTCAGTGACCAATGTTGGCCAGAGGACCTTCCATAACTGTGTTCTAACTCTTACCTCCTTAGTAGGATCTTTCTTGGACTTTATTTCAGATATTAACCTCTTGGTTACCATATACAGAATTAGGGTGACTTTCTCTGGATGATCTATCAGTGCAGGGACTGAATTGAATATTTTCTTCTGAGGCATGAAGCAAGGTGTTTTGTTCAGTCTCAGAAAATATTCATTGTTTGAGAGGTGTCAGGCAGTTTCAGTTATTCTTCAGGAAAGAATTTCTGTAACTATAAATAAATCTAGTGGGGTATAATTTGAGCTTCATCACTATCATACAAGTTGCTGTTTGGTGTCAAGTAATTATATCTGAGTTAAAAAAGAGAAACAAAAATATTTTGGTTTCTCTTCTTTCATCTCATCTTTCTGCCTCTGACCAACATTGTAGAAATATAAAGTTTGTTTATTATGGGGGTATCAAAGTTCAAATAAAAAGGTAGTCACTTATACTTCTGGATGATATGTATCTAGCCAATGCTTGACACATAATATATATTCACAAAATCTTAGAATCATGGCTCTAAATAATTTCATTCAGCAATGACAGATACTTCAAAAAGTAATTTCCTAGATATTATCATGGAAACACTTGTTCCACTCACAAACACACAGTATGCATGCTAACCTCTTCAGATGAAAAATTCCTCATTTATTTATTGGACAATATTTATTACCCATCTACAAGATGCTAATTGTTGTAATACAATCTGAAGAAACAATGTGAAAGGGTCAAAAATTATTTTTTCTTATGAATTTAGTGAAGAAGAGATTTTATGAGAAGAATAGAATGAATAAAATAATTTAAAATTTTGAAAACTGGTTTGAAATAAATATTCAAGCAACTAGACAGAGGAACAAAGAACAAAGAAAACTCAGGGATCTACTTTATATAGTATTGTCAAATAAATTTTTGATTTTAAATGAGTGTTGTTTATGGTGAAACTGGAAAAAATGAGAAAGAGCTGGGCATGAAGGCAGTCTTCTAGCCAACAGAATAGGCATGTGCAAATATCCTGAATGGACAATGACCTCAGTTTGTTAGAAGAATGGAAGATACCTGTGACTAGCATGTAATAAGCAAAAATGAGATTGAACATAAAGAGTTTTATGCTTGAATAAAATACACACATGCACACACATGATTAAGCAGGAAGCACATTTAGGAAGCTGTAACTGCAAAAGATAATGGTAGCCAGGTCTAAGGTGGTGGCTATGGAGATGGAAGTAATTGAGAAATCTGATTGCTTACATAAGTGAAAAATGTACACACACATCTAACGTTCCTGCTCTAGGAGCTTGGTATTAGCAACCACATGTTATAGATATAAAAGCTGAGACCGAAAAAGACTATGAGTCTTACTTAAGATTTACCATGAAAAGTGGCAAAAATGAATTTTAAAGTCTGCTCTTAAAAGTGCTAAAGTCCCTGAAATTTCTAGGATGTCGCAATGCTCTCCAAGGAAGCAGAACTTTGAAATCCTATGTCTGTGTGACACATCTCTTATAAAATAATCATGAGAATATGAGTCTGATCAAGAGTGAACATTTTTTTTCAAAAGAAAACAATACATTCCTGTGACCAATGACATTCTTACTCAAAAGCATTTCATGAAACCTTAAATGAAAAGAAATAAAGCTTAATAAGAGAAGTAAAGGTAATTATCCCTAGATAAACACTAGCAATGAATGGGTTTGATACTTTATTTTTTTTGTCTAGTTTCTGTGAGTCTTTTTCTAATAACTGTGAAACAATAAAATGAAGTTATGGCACTTTATAACACTCATGAAATAATAAATATAAGAGATTTAATTTTAGCTTTCCTGCCAGCAGGCATCTTTCATAATATATCTGCATACACAAGAGGGAGACAGGATTGATTTTAAAACAGATGAAATTGATAGCCTCCACAAAATGCATAAAATACTACTTTCACTTTATTTTGGGTGGAGTAAGGAGATGGTAAATTAATGGAATGCATAAAACAACATTTGAAGAAACCACATGTAGCAAAACACATTTCAAGAGAGTCATTAACAAAAGTATGACTTTTGGAGCACAAGTTTGACAGAAAAGCAAAGCAAAGTGAATATATATATATTGGAGGGTTTGGAGCTTGAACAATCTAAATGTGAGATCAGATCTTTCCTATTTACTAGTTTTGTGATGCTGAGCCATAATCTCTGTTAGTTTAAACCCTAAAATCTTCAGAATAACTAGATAGATATAGATATATAGATATACAAATACATACTAAATAAATACTTGCAATTTTCAGTGGTATTTATTTGAACCAGTCTTGTGGTCTACAAAGCAAAAAATACTTTATTTCTATTATATTTGTTGGGTTTTATTGTTATGGTTATATGTTTATGAGGTGGCTTAAAGCAACACACTATACATGATTCCTAAATGGGTCAATATAATAGACAAATCTATTGCTCTAATATTGGAATAACTATTCCTGTGATAATTTACAAGTACTTTATTTGTCAAGGGTGAAAGAAAGATCCATACTTCACTCTTCCCCATGGGAATCTGTGGGTTAAATTTTTTTAAAAAAAATTAGCTGGAATCATCATATAGAAACACATTCTACCTAAACCTTTCGAAGTTTTACTTGCAGTTCTGTATGTATTGACTGGGAATCTTGCATGGTTACAAATTTCACGTTTTATTCTGGCCCCTAATTTAATTGAGATTGATTATCTACAGAGAAAATGGTGTAAAAGATTGTTTAAAGTCTTGGGCTATTACGGACTGATATATTTTTATTGTATTTTCAACCTACAGAATACTGGATAAGAATTTAGGATGGGAGCCAGGTAGGAAACCTGAATACGCTTGTTTCCATTTGTTCATAAAAGCCATGATGATGAGCAGGTTTTTTAAAGAAAGTCAAATTGACTGTAGGTAGTAAGAGATTTTAAGCCTAGGCTTTGTGTTTGTGATGTAAATTGGATACAATCTGGTACTGGAGGATCTGAGATAATACTGGGAAGACAGAGAAGCTAATGGTAACATGGCTGTAACCATTAAGCTATGTAGATACACACCTTCACACAGAGGCTGAGAAAGTCTTCCAATCTTTTAAAGACTCAAATGGAGTTTTAGAGGATAGCATTATTCAAAGTGAGTTTTTCATAGAAACTTGTGCGGTAGCATGCCAATATATGATGTGGTTTGGTGTGTGTGTGTGTGTGTGTGTGTGTGTGTTACCTAATAAGATTGGGAGACATTAAATTAGACAAAATTAAACATGATCTTCTGTTTGTTTTGTTTTACTACAAGTTTCTCTTGCATTTAGAAATACATATGAATCCCCAAGGAAATTATATGGTATCTCGAGTTTGCCAAGGATAGTTGACTATAAAATCTTTCAAATTTCCTTCAGAGAAAATTATAAAATTTGTGGGAGATGGGACCCAGTTGGAAAAATCTTGCCCTGGGAGGATAAACAATGGAACATATTTTCAATATAGGAATTACTGTTTATAATCTTAAGGAGGTATCAGGAGATATTCCCACAAAGCAATAGAGTCATGGTAAAGAAGAGATAAGATTGAAAAGGGTGTTGATTCTTCTAAGCTATGTGGAAAACTGTGAATTTTATCCTACTAATGAAAATGAACTATAGATTTTTAAATCAGGGTAAGAGATGGAGTGGTTTTTATTTAATATTGATAATTTCAGTAGTATACAAAGTACACATCAGATATACAGAGTCCACCAAAAGAATGCAAGAGGCAGAAGAAACTGGAAAATCCAAACTTTGTATAGACGCATTCTTCTGGAATCCTAGCGTTGTATTGGTTTACTTCAATTTAGTTTCAAGAAAGGTAAAGTGAATGAAAAACCCAACGCTGAAAAAAATGTTGGAAGTTCTACAATGCATTTATGAAGGCAGAGTCCCAAATTCTACCCAGAGGACTGAAGACTTCATTTAGTGTGTCAATAAGATTAGAACCTCATCTACTTCCTCCTGCTGTATTTCCTGTATGTCAGAACTGCAAGCTACATGCTCTGAATAGCCACCTAATAAACTTTAAGGCAAGGATGTTTCAGGCCAAAAAAAAAAAAAATGGTGAGCTCATTAAACATGTTGAATGGGTATGGAATAAAAATCTTGGTAGCAACTGGAATGCCATGCAAATTATCAAAAATATCCAGACAATATATTTTGATTAGATATGAACTGTGAATATGTTTGTACTACATTTTACAGTTTTGAAATAATTGGGTTATTGTGTAGATTTTGATAAAATTTCTTATTTACCTATATTCCCCCCTTTCAATTAATCATAATTGTTATAACTTGATTTGTCTTGTATGCCTATCTATTTTTAAGCACCCTTCTTTAAGGCTTTTAATGTATTTTGTTTTGTTTTATTCAGTTATGGACATCATTGATAATTTGATAAAAGCTACGACCTTTCCCCTCATAAATGCGCATATGTAAATAATTTCATACTATTTCATTTTCAAGGTGAGGAATGACAGCCATATAAAGCTCATTCATGGATCATTCCTTTCTTTCCCAAGTTGAAAACTACTCCAAGAGATAGATGTTAATATTTCAGGAAAGTTAATATGATCATCAGAAATAAAGTGGAGATAATAATAGAATTAATAGAAAGCCAAACATTATGCTGTTCCTTCTTCATCGACCGTAACTTCCCTTCCTTTCCTTCACCCCCTTTCTATCACCTTACAATTCATATCATTATAGAAGGATTTAGAGAAAAGAGAAACTAAGTTTTACCTGAGAAAGTGACAGTGTGGTTCAATTGAAGATACCATGCTGTTCATTATTGCTGGATCTTCCTAGAGATAGACATATATTCTAGAAGCCTTGGAAAATATTCCAAAAGTTACAACAGAATAGGGTTTTCTCACCTTGTCCATACATAGAAAGAACTATTTCTTTTAAATGTTCACTTGGTGTGCATTTTACTGGTTAGAATCAATCAAGAACCTTCAGACTGCTAAAGCAAAGCAAGCAAGGATGGATGGGTCATGCTTACACACTCCAAAATATTGAAGGTCTAAGCCCCAATTTAACAGAAATACATATATAGAAATTATAAATATCTACAAGGTTTTGAGGACGCCTGGCATATTGAGGGCAATGGGTGCAGAGAACTTGTAACTAGGCTTATCTGGGATCAGACATTTTATACACACTCACACATACGTATACACCCACATGTACATACACACATGTATGTGTGTATATATACATATGTAATATATACTTCATATAATTTGAATGTATATAATACATTAGATATATCACAGTGCTGATAAGTTTCTTAATATTTACCTCTCAAGGTATTGTGAGGATAAATGATGATGCAAAAATGTACCTGCCATCGCTTATTTATTATTCATCCATTACTTCATTTAGCCAATAGTTATTAAATAGTTGCCATGTGCCACATGTTATTCTAATAGTAGTGAGGGGGGATATCTCATATATCCCCCTGACACATAAGGTCATATTGATAAATAATATCTACAGGAACTCACGGAAGAGGTTCTAATAGATCCTGTGATACAGCTATGCTTGTTAACAGATCAGATCATCAAAAATGTATTTCTTTGCTGACTGCTTGACCTTTCAAAAGTTAATAATGGCAGTGATATTCTGCTACTATAATATATTTTTGAGTTAATGTAAAATAGTCCAAAATAAAGTTTAATATACTCTGTTAAAACAATCTAATTTAGATTTAGAATTTTTGATAAACAATGAAAGATTTTTAAGGGTCAGAATTATACTGTAGCACACAATTGTTTTCTAGTTTCATGTCTTAGAACGTTTATTTAATTTCAAATCTGTAGTCTCAAGAAATAGAACAGAGTCTGCTCCTCTGAAAATCCAAGCATGGTTCTGGACTTCTTTTCCTTATCCCAACATCCCAGATATGCTTTGTTTTCTCTAATAAAGACATATATTTTGCTTTCAGCTTTCCTTAAAATTGAAAATATTTCAACAATAAATTATGAAACATTAGATTTTTCAGTTGCATACTAACTTTATTAGCAGAAGGGAAAATATTTAAGCTTAACTTTAGATGCATATTTCTCAGAATTTATGACTGCTCCAGAAATTTTTATATTATTGCCATGAAATGAAATTACTTGAAAAAACCAGCTGAGGTCATCGTAGCTCACAGTGGACCCTACGTGGTCTCCAGTTGCCCTCTACTCGGTATGTCAATACAACCTGCCTCTGTGAAGGTACATTTCTTTGAACAAATCTGTTCTTTTTCTTTTACTGTTTAAAGCTAAGTGCATTCAAAAGTTATTTCATCAATGAAAACTTTAGCCTCATTAGTATGGATATCTTAATGCATTTTAATGGTATGAAGTCCTTCAAGTGACCTACTTGGCATCTACTTTTAGATAAAATGCCAAAGCAGGGGATATCTGTTTTGAAGTGTCAAATGTGGTTTAACCAAAAATCTTAATCATAACCAGTTTATGGGATATTTGGAAGAAAATGTA
The DNA here is from genome assembly GCF_000001405.40 of Homo sapiens. NCBI lineage: Eukaryota > Metazoa > Chordata > Mammalia > Primates > Hominidae > Homo > Homo sapiens. The sequence continues at coordinate 61,716,700 of NC_000016.10, read as the reverse complement.
ATAATTCACCAGTTCAGCCACCTTCTCCCCAGCATATAATGCACTGAGCTTGACATGAGCTTGACAATATAAAGCCTCTTAATGAATTATGAGGAGAGAACTATGAATATGAATCTTTTCCATTGGCTCAAAACAGTGGTTCTCATACTTGTGTGTACACCAGAATTACCCAGAAGGCTGTTTGAAATACAGATTGCTGAGTTATAATCTGAGACTTTTTAGTCAGTAGTTCCAGTGGCTCAATAAATTGCTTATCTAATGAGTTCCTGGCTAAAATAAATGGTGGAAAAATGTATTAAATTTTGGTGTGATGTTTAGACCAGACTTCTGAGATGTGATGTGGCAGGTAGTTATGCTTCTTTGCTACAGGTAAGCTATATCATTGTATCTTTTGTTTTGGTCATGGTGGCTTAGCTAATCAAATGACTCTCCTGTAGATGCAACAGCAGGTATGAGCCATTTTCACGCAGATTACTTGAAAATAGTATGAATGGTATTAATTATGGGAGCTTTATCCACTAAGTGTACTGTAGGAAAGCATTTAATTATGACTGATCTCTACTTGAGAAAACCAAGACATCTTCTCTTCATTTGCCCTTATTCTCCATATGCACTCACACACTTCAGGAATTACATCTTCAATGGTTGCACCTGGGGCTAGAAGTCCTATAGAGAGAAGTCTGGGTAAATGGAGAAGGAGCTGCTACATTTGCTCACAAGCAATGTTTTTCCCTGTCTTCTTTATAATTGCCTGAAAGAAAGCTCTTGTCAAAGATAGTCATTCCCTTGACTTTTTAACATGAAAATCCAGCACAGCTGTTCTGAGGTGAAGTGGTCAACTCATACTTTTCTGTTAAATATTTTTACTTGCAGGCTGTCCAAAGGAGTTATCCATGTTTCAAATCTAGACCCCTTGTACTTTAACTCATGTTGATTTTTATGAAACAAGTACCCTAGGGCCTCTCTCTACACTTAAATGTCAAGGCAAATATGCTATGTGTTTAGGTACAGTAAATATAATTGCATTCTCCTTTAGTCTGATCATGTTGGGTCATTGAGTAACAGAGTTGTTACATTTATAAAAGATTTATCAAAATGCCAGGTCATCAATAAATAGCAATGGCCCTAATAAATATGATAATAATAATGATATGATGACTAAAATTTTATTGAACATTGACTAGAAACCAGAAACTGTCAAAAGATTTATATGAATTTAAATCCATAATCAAAACACACCTATGAGAAAAGATGGTTTTTGCATTTGTATTTCTGGCATACAAGAAATTGAAGTTTCAGAGACTTAAGTAACTCCTTCAATGTCACACAATGAGCCACAAACAGAGCTGTGACTTTTATCTTATCTGGGAAGCTTAACTCCAGAGTCCTTTCTCTTGATGACTATCTCACTGTCTTAACCATGAGTTATACTTTAAATTATTTTATGTTATTTTGTCACTCAAGCTAAGAATAATTATAATTATTTATAAGACATTATAACTAGACAAAAAGGTCCTTAACAAAAATCAAACACTTACAAAGTAAGATTATGTTCCATTTTAAAAAGGGAGACCTAGAAATTAAAAAAAAGTATTTTATTTTTGCCTCAAGTAAATTGAATGAATTGCCTATCATATAACATGTGCTTGATACAATGCAAAGCCCCATAGCTGCTAAAAGTTCTGAAATTGTGCTTCTTACACTTGAGTGGTAAGTTAGAAAGCAAAGATGACCCCTTCTCAAAAGGAATTTTTTTTTCTCTTTAATAACATTTCAAAGTTCAATGGGACATAATTGTTCACACAGACACAATAGCATTGACATCATTATTATATCCTCGAAATATCATAAACCTGAGAACATTTCACTGTTAACTACTTTTTATGGTAAATCTATTATCACTATAGGAGTATACATTCAAACTTTTCCTACATTAGCTCTTGTCCCGCTTGTCACATTGAACTAGCAATATCACAGAATCATAAATACAAATTATTAAGATAATTATCTGACATCCCAAGAAACAACTTTAGCATTAAGTTAATGCAGCTTTACAAATGAAACAAGCACATTTAATAAGCACCGATTCCAAGTACCTCTATCTATCCAAACATTTCTCTGCACCGTGGTAATTCTAATCCCTATAATTTATTCATCTCAGGATACACTCCAAAGCATTGTTTGCATGTGTTACCCACTAGCTTTAAAAAACAGTATTAATTATTGGGAGGGAACAGAAGCAACTCATCAGAGAGGTTTGTTGCAGTGATGTTTGTGCTGAGGAACACTATTTGGCAAACATTTATAACCTGATGAGTAAAAGAGTTGTGAGGATTCAAGATTTAAGCCATTTACCTCAAAGATCCTCCCAAGAACCACACTACAATCACTGTAACAATTCCAAATCTCATTCTAGATGCCCGTAAATACTCAAATTGGAAAGAAACCTGTAATTGCCCAGTGGATATTTCAAATACACTTAACTTTGCTATTTCAAGCCACAGACACCAAATGGACACAAAGGTAATGCTCTTAATTTTCATCAACTTATCAAAGCTGAGGTTTTAAAGTAATGGATTTTTCTCCTTATTCTTGGCACAAACCATCCATGACAATTTAGAAAGCTGAAAAAGAGTCTCTGAGCCAAAGTATCAGACCACAAAAAGAATGTCACTAAGCTTTTACCGATGGCAGGAGCCTCTGAAATCATCAGAAATGCTGACGTCAAGTTTTATGTTTCAGGTCATTCAAACTGTTAGCGCCATGGACAAAGATGATCCCAAAAACGGACATTATTTCTTATACAGTCTCCTTCCAGAAATGGTCAACAATCCGAATTTCACCATCAAGAAAAATGAAGGTAAATATATTAGCTTTGTGAAACAGAGTACAATATAAATTGGAAAATAGGATGCAATTTCATAACATAACTGAAAATTATCATTAAGATAATTTTTGTTCAACTATGAGCACTTGAAATTCAGCTTATCAGTATAATGGCATGGTAATTACCTTACTTCCTATTTTCAATATTTAAGCAATAGATAAGAACTTTGTTAATGTAAAAAGTTAATTTTTTCCCCAGGAAATACTTCAATCACCTTACTTTAAAAAATGAAGAGTAAAATTTAACCCCTGTGAAAGCTTCCAGGTATTTTGAGATTCTGAGATATCCCTAAGAGGGAGAATTGGCCTACACTTTGTAGTTGTTAAGTTTTAATTGAATGTTTACCACGTCTTTAGGGAAAGCTATTCTAATTTTGCCTGGTTTGTGAGTACACATTAAAGGTATTTGTTTTAAGCCTGTACCAACTTTAACAATAACAGTTAGTTCAGAAAATCCTCTTTGAAGGACATTGCTTATCAGCATTATTTTGGAGCTAATATGAACTGATTTATTGTTAAGTCTTTCACTCACTGAGCACATTTAATCCATTTCATTAGATTTTCTGAGGACCAACCTTGGATTACTGTTTTCTTTAACTATACTATTTATTATATGTGAAAGCCATAGATTATTGTTTAAAGTCTATCTCATTTGAAAATTTTTATTTTCTAAGCAGCCATATATTAAAAAAAATTTAAAACTTGATTTTTGTTCAAATGTATTTAAGTCTTAGTTGTAGCTGTTTTAGAATGATTAGCAAAATATAAGCAATGTCTCAGGCTTTTTTCTGGCTTTACTGCAGGTATCTGTTTAGGTCTCTCAATGGTCTGTATACAAGCTATACTCAGAAGAGTAAAATTTGATTCATGATATCTGTTCCTATTGTTTGCAATATTCTATTTAAAGGGATAGTGAATCTTGATAAAATTTCCTTTATGAAGTAAAATAACATTTTATGGCTAAATATATTATGGCCTTGCCTTTGAACAAAATGCTACATAGTTCTGTGGGGACGCTTTGATAAATGTGGATGAATCACAAAAAGGAAATGACAGTTGTTATATAGATATTACTAATTTAGCTGACTTCCACTATTATAAACACTGAGGAGACAAAACCCTTTCTGTCTCCTCAATAATGGAGTATTCATTTGTTAGCCACCCTTGATTGGAAACTGTAATCCAAGTACATTGTCATTGTTTATTTATTAGCATCACCAATATTTTTTAATGGAAATCATATGAATATTTCTAACACAAAGCCTCCTTAGAAACCCCAAACTGAACTGGAAGTCTGTGCATAAGTGTGGTCCGTGTTTATTCTGATTTTGAACTAGTAAGTATCAGGCACTATTTTTGCATATAAAACGCACAGCATTTAAAATTCTCCATGAATAAGTTATTTCCCATTCCAAATATTCTGAGATCCTTAGTGTTTCCTGTAAATTTTGTAATTTCAAGATACACTTCTTGTGTGGCTCTAGAAGGCATCACATAAGGTATTGGGTGAATGGGAAGATATTATTGGGTACCAAGGAAAGTCTAATTTTGACACGTATTTATTATGCCTTAATATTTTTAAACAGGAGATTTAATTCTACAATAAATGAATTTTATGTGTTTTCTTGAATTTTGGAATTAGTAGAAGGTAAAAGTTTAAATATTTAGAATACCTCATTCTGCTTCATCACACATTATGATAAACCCTGTAATAGAATACTTAATGTCATGTGGATTATCTGTTTTATTTTGAAACTGGAAAATAGAAGTTAAAATTATGATCTATCTTATAGGTTTTTCATATTATTTTGCTTTGTAAATTTTTTAAAGATGTCAGTTATTATTGAAAAATAACTTGAAACAGAAAGAGTACTCCATACATCATGATTGCTTGTTTTAGACTGTGTTTATTTGTTTTACAAAGAGCGACCATGTAATTTATTGTTTCTACTGGGACATGTTTTAAAGTGAGAGGGGTGGCTGCTTATATTTATGTCTGAAAAACACCATAAACCAGGACTGCCTTATGGAAAGTAGGACTTATGTTCACTGTGATTTTGGATTTAGGATCCAAATCTTCAACATCTCCTTCACAAAATAAATCATGAAACCACAGGTTTGAAATAGATATATAAAGTTTATACTCTATGTTCCTCTTCCTAGATCAGAAATCCATGAGTTTTGCTTCATAGACCACTACTTACTTGGCACCTGAATAGGTACTGTAAAACAGAAAAAAAATGGGCTTGTCTTAATATGTAGAAACAAAATAATGAAAAGAAGCTGTAAAAAATGTTGGATATATATATATTTTCCTTCTTAAGATGAATTTTAAAATGGTCAGTATCTGATGCTTCTCTACTGAGAGCAGTATGAGTTACAAGTTCCAGCCTGCAAGAAAAATGTTAAAATGTTGAGAGAGCTAATATAATCAAATCTATTGTTGATGAATAAGTTTGTCTCCTATTTAATTTGATCTTTAAGGGAGATGATTTCAGTATTTGGCATTTTCTAAGGAACTTGCCACCATATATTTCAATTCAAAATTATTGTAATTTTTCTTGTCTCTTATATGGATTGGTCCTAATGCAATTTCTATCAATTAATTCACAATAAAAGACAAAATGAGATAGAAATGAGCTCTCTCTTGTCTCCTACACAGTTGAATTATTTCACAAATAATTCTACTAAATATATGAGAATCATATTTCTGCCAGAATAGGAAAGCAACCTTCAATATAAATAAAGATAGAAGTAAAGGTCAAAAATACAGTGAACCTTTTATACCACATGTTCACACCAAAAAATCAAAGCACCTTGAATATGGTCAAGATATTGATTTCTTCATCTTCCAGTTGGCTGAATTTATAAGCAGAGAGTTTTGTTGACCACATTTCAGTATTGGCCTCAATTTTAACCATGGAAATGGAAAATAGCTAACAATTAAATATAACAAGACAGGGAAGAAAAAAAGTGACCTTTTAGAGATTCTAAAATATCTTGTTTGCAGGAAATTTGAGGTCTCCAGAAAACTACTCTTCCTCAGCCTGAACACTGTAGGTAAAAAATGTGATTCAAATTGCCAGAGCACCGTCTGGTGAAATGGGAGCCCTCATGGTTTATACCGCAATTTTTAAATCATGTGTGTAAAGAAATGAGAGAAAATACAAATCTCTGCTCTCTAAGGAGAGCCTATGGTAAGACGAGAAATAGACAGGGGACCTGGATTTAGTTATAGTTTGGTTATGTTTAACCCAGCAGGAGAACCATAGTACCTGATGATACCAATTTGTTTTTCCTTCTTAATGTCTCCTCATTGACTGAAATATTGTTGATAAGAAGCTTACTTTAAATGCATACTTTTGATAATTAATTTGAATAATGTAGATGCTAACCATTACTTTGGAATAAACATGCCTCGTGTTACCTCATTGTCCATAATATAGTTAACTGTATAGAGTATAATTTATGCATTGTCTGATAGATTTCTGTCTCAACCGAGTGGCCTAGTTCAAATGGTATACAGTTTATTTATTTTTATCTTCTGGAAGTATCGAATACTCTTACTTTAAGCAAATCATTTTAAGCCTCAGTTTTCTAATCTGTGACACCAGGATAAAATACCTGTCTCATAGTTGTGCTGTGATGGATATGTGTGAACTAGGACTTAGACATCAATTGGCACAATGCCTGGCATATAGAAAAACACGCAACAATAAGTGGGACGAGGTCCCTTTATATGTGAATTCATTAATTCCTTCTCATACTGTATCTCCTCTGGCTTATCATTCTCAGCCAGGTCTCTTTGAAGCTTTAAATCTTCAGAATTATAAATCTTGTGCAGTGATTTTGAACGTGGCTTCATCAGTAGTTGGGAAAACACTGATCCTCACTAGAATGCATTGCAAAAACATCTGCTTATACAGTAACTGCAATGTATTGCATTCTAAAGGGTATTAAAATAGACAAAATAAAAAGAAGGAGGAAGAAGATGAGGACCAACTATGAAAGTATTTATCAGCCACAGAAATAGCTGCAGGATTCCTGCATATGGTTTTGAATATGATGACTTTTTTTTTTTAACCTTTCTATAGCTCCATTGCCAAAACGAAACTCAGGTTTCTCCACACAATGGTAGTTTCCAATTGTTGGGATCACTTTCAATTCTAGCATATAAAATTGTTCTAAATTGCCTCCAAACTTCCATCTCTCCCTGCAAACACACATACTCTGTGGGAACCATTTACATAGCTGGAAAATTACAGACAGCCTTCCTTTGCATTTTTGACTACCATCAGCCTATCTCAAACTTCCCGTGTTGCAAAACCAAAATTTGCTGCCTGAAAGTGGAAGTGGATTTTCCTGATTCCCATGCCAGCCAGAGCTAATGCTCTGTCCTTCCTCTTTTCTCCAGCTGAATCTTCAGGAATACATTTTCTGTATTCAGGATGTAGGTTTCAAGGCAGACAGAGTCATTCTGTCCTCTGCCTTAAGCCAGGTATACCTAGCCAGGCTGGATTGTACTTGAAGGACCTATATGCTGATATACATAGCAAGGAGGGCCACCTTGCTAAGCCAATTGTCCTTTTTCTGGCCACCTGAGTCTTCCTTAAGTTCTGCTATTACAATAGGCTGCTTTGGAACCAACAGAAGGCTTTCCTAAAAGAAACATCTCTTGTTCAAGTGTCCTTTATAAAAACATCCATACCCTTAGCTTCAGCAGATCCATTATTATTGGGTTTCCCAGGCAAGCATCCCCAAACAACAAGCAGAAACTGTGTACTTGCATGAGTATGATAGTTAATATCTTAATATATTTCCAATATGATTGTATTGTCTGTTCTGCTCACATAGTGGACTTTTTCAAAGCGCAACACACAGCACCAAACGTTGACTGGAAGTGTTTTCCATGTAAGTTGTCTACTATTACCTATATGAAGCATGGGACATTTCTTCAATGTTGAATCATAAAAGGTAGTGCTCAATTTGCATGAAACAGGAGGTGTGACAGATCATAGATACGGAGAACAGCACTATGCATATATGATCCAAAAAGGCTTCCGATTCAGTAATTTATAGTTTATTGTTTATGCTTCCAGCAATGTGCTGTTGATAAAAAGACATTTATGTTTCATTTTGTCACCTAAACTGTAATTAAGGGCGATGTGCAAGCTAAGAAAAATAGATAAAACAGATTTGTGTTTCCAGTTTCTAAGTTGCATATGACTGTACACTTAGTGTCACAAGACAAGGAGGTTTTCTTTGCTTGGGTAGTTTTTGTAAAACTCTTGTTATTTTGTAGTTTTCATATTTTCATTTTCTTTCTAAAATTGTAATTTAAGAGTACCTGCAGAAGTGAACAATTTTCTTTATACATGTTGAAAAATCCTGAAATTATTACTCTGGTCAGACATAGCACTGCTGTGGGTATCTATTTTTTAGTGTATGTTATGGAAAACAATTTAGTTCTGAGATTACTGACCACTAGGATATAATTCAGATACATAGCATAGATTTTATAGTTTATAGGTGTGGTTGTCAAAATGCTGTTCAAAGTTTTGAATTGCATCAGATCTTTTCTGTCAATCTGCTAGCAAACATTTCCAGCCTTTACAGAGCTTTCTAATTCTGAAGAAAATAAATTGGTACATGCTCTAAAACTTAAAGTATAATAATAATAATCAAAAAACAAAATAAATTGGTACATGCTTAGTTATCTTAAAGATGCCTTCGTGCGTAGAATCTTTCCTTTGAGTACTTTGCTTTCTGAGACTGTTGCCCCAAATCATTATATAAAATAATAAAGGAAGAATATAAAGAATTATTTAGAAAAAATGTTTTTCATTTAGACAGTCTTGTCCATACCACTTTGTTGTTTGTTTCATTAAATAATAATGTTATTTACTGATTTATCTTTTACTTACAAGCATAAAAATCAGTCTTGGGATTTTGTGGATATTAAACAAACATAACTGTCCTTTGGAAAGCACAACCAAATATTAAAATTGAATGTGGAAACAAAATGATCTGTCAGTCTGTGCAAATTCTTTTTTTTTGAAAAAAGATATTAAATGTAGTTGACAATTATTTCAACTCATTACAGCACAGAAGTTTGCATTTTGCATTAATTTCAGCACTTTATAGATACAACATTGGGCATACGTGACATTCCATCTGCTAATGTGACCTGAGTAACACCTACCAAGTGCTTCAGATCCCTCAGTTTATTGAAGAAGTAGATAGAGAAGGCAGGAAAATAATTTGGCAACAAAAAAGCAGGCACTCTGCATAGATAAACATGAAAAAAATTGTCTTGGGATGAATTAGAATGAAACATAAGGGAGAGACACTATGGAATATATAATAGCACAGGCTTTATAGTTAGGAATATTTAGGGTTAGCTCTTCCGATTACGATCTATGGGAACCTGCAAGGTAATTGAATAATCTTGAACATTTGTCTGTATAATAATATTTATCCAATGTTGTTTTAAATAATAAAATATTAAGTAAAAAATTTAAATGATGTACAAAATTCATTGACTGACAAATTGGTGATAATAAATAGTTTCCTTGTCCTCTTCCTCTCTATTAAAATTTAATGAACCTCTTGAATCTCACTTGTTCACCCAATGCAACAAATAAAAATATTAATAAGGAACCTAAATAAGGTATTTGGGAGATGATTAATAATATGCTTTTCCATTTTCCCTTACTCGATGGGCCAATGATTGAACATGTCTGCAAACATTGTCCATGAGTAAAGCACAGGGAAAGGAGGAAAGAGAAAGAGAAGTATTTGGGTAACTTAAGTAGTTATTTGAACATAAGCATCATTACAGTAACCTAATCAAAGAATAAAAATGGAGAGTACCTAAAAATTGTTCTTTTTCATTTGGCTGGAGAGAGCATAAAGTTATTTACATAGTGGCAAGTGGAATATTTAAGAGTGACAGAATGACCCAATTTTTAAGCCAGGAGTATCTTAGCAAATACATAGCTTATGAAAGTCTTGTATGCTAAATATAGAACTTCATATGTACTTAAAAAGCAGAAAAACACCAGGCAATGAGATTGAATGTCTATCTTCCTAACTTTATTTTCCGTTATTCTCTTCCGTCTTCTGTGCCCTTATACATGCTTTGGTTTGAACATGCCAAGCCAGTTACACTTTTTTTTTTTTTTTTTTTTTTTTGAGACAGAGTCTTGCTCTGGTGCCCAGGCTGGAGTGCGGTGGCGCGATCTCGGCTCACTGCAGGCTCCGCTTCCGGCGTTCACGCCATTCTCCTGCCTCAGCCTCCTGAGTAGCCGGGACTACAGGCGCCCGCCACCACGCCCGGCTAATTTTTTTTTTGCATTTTTAGTAGAGACGAGGTTTCACCGTGTTAGCCAGGATGGTCTCGATCTCCTGACCTCGTGATCCGCCCGCCTCGGCCTCCCAAAGTGCTGGGATTACAGGCGTGAGCCACCGCGTCCGGCCGCCAGTTACACTTTTTAAATCCCCTCTCGCTTCCCCTTTGAAATTCCCATCCTCTGCTTTATCCCTCTTCTATTTAGCCCATTTTAAATCATTCACAATAACTCAGGTATTGGCTTCCCTTATCTATGGGCAGAGCAAGTGGGTGGTTAACAGTTGCTGTAAAGTTTTTCCTCTTTTCTTTTCTCTGTAGGACAGGGTGGTAACTGCTAAGGCAAACACATGACTCAAGGAATGTTTTCCCCACTGTCTTCTGAGGTTATTAATAATGGATGGTATCTTTTTTTCCCTTATTCATTCATTCAATACATATTTATTTGGTGTCCATCATGTGCCAGGCACACCCTTAAGAATTGGAATTGGAAATAAAGCAGTGAATTAAATAGACACAGGTTTTGCCCTTCTATACAGTATATTTTTGTTTTCCTCAGGACTCTGTCTTATAACAATTTGAAATCTTAGAGAGGAAACTATAATTTACAATGAAATGTTGTGATAGAGTGGGGAAATTTGCAGGCAAGTCTGAACAATATTATGATTTTGTGGGAATTATCACATAGTCTAACTTCTATACTTTCACAAACAAAGTTTCCTCCTTAACCCAATTTTGTGAACCTGGCCTTACATAAAGAAGTGTAAGATCTTCATGGATTCCATCATTCCCATTCCATCTTTAGGAAGCATTTGTCTGGTCAGAATGGTGATGTGCGTCTTTAATCATGGACAGCTAATTCTCCCTCTGAGTTTCATATTGGTGTCCTTATTATGCCTGAGCTCAGATGAGGTATGTCGAACCATACTATTCAATGTCTTTATACTAGCAGGGTGAAAGAATGTCAGTGAGCCCTTTCCAAATGCACAGTGATCCGTAGACATCACTGTCTTTGGTGATAAAGTACTGGCAGTGAACTGGGGCTGATGATTCCATTTTGCAGGCTTATTGGAAACCATTATACTTTTCATACAAGTTGCATTATGTGAGGTTCATGCCTTTACCAGCTCCTATGCATGGTTGTTTCAGGTACCTGTCAGTTAATGGAGGTTTTAGCTCACTTTCAGTGTACAGTGTTTACTGAAGCCTCCTGGAAACTAGAGAATACTATTGTTCTGATCTCTGGCCGTGACACTGGGTTCATATTCCATCTGTTGCCTATTCTATCTGTTCGCTAATGTACCACCAAAATCAATGTGCTGATGCACTTTGTTGAGGAAGATAGTAATTGCCGTGCTTGGATCTTTTTGGGTTACTCATTGCCTTTGCTTTCATTCTAGTAGATTGCCTACTAGAATTTCCTTCCTCTATTGCTCAAGTATATTATCCTCAGCCTTTTGAGGCTGTTTATCTTAGGGTGGTCTGAAAAGAAGGTGATACTGTACTGGTATGCTGAGCACAATCATCCTTCCCTGAATTTCATTCTTTTGCTTGGCCAGACAGTCATTGCTAGTTCCATCAAGGTCACACTGTGATTTACTTCTCCCTGGAACTCAGTTTTTTCTCTTACAAAATGAGTGGGTTCATGCTAGGGAGCTAAAGGCTCATCTATCCCAACATACTGAGTGTTCAAACATGTGGTGTTAGAAGACATATCACAAACGTTAAAATCAGACAAGTCCCAAGTCCACCAATTAACAGAGAAGTGACTTTGGACAAGGCTTTTAACTTTCTGTAACAGACTCTAAGTGTTTGAAAATGTTGGAACAAAAGCACTGTGATGAATAAATGAAAGAATGTAGGATAAAAGCCAATGGAAGTTACTGTAATTTCTGTGGTACTTTATGTACTTTCTCATTTTTTTAACTTTCAAAAATCATGGAAGTGATCTTTACCATAGAAATTACTGTATAAAATATCTTCCATATTAAAATATTGGATAGTATTATTAAAAGATACGCTTCTAAAACATTGTAGCTTTTCTTTCTCAGTATCTTTGGGCAGAATTCTTGAGAAACTAAATAATTAAATCATTTTCATAAAATAAAATAACTCAATAAACATATGACAAATGGTCCCAATAGTTCGTAATTTGGGAATATATTTCATTTAAGTCTGGAGACAAGGAAATAGAAGCATTTTGTAAAGCTATTTATTTGATGCCATTTTGGTTTATCAGAGAGATCTTTCAAAATGAGAAAGCTTTAGTAAACTTTTACAGACATGAAACATCGCTATGTGCGTGTCAAAGTTAAGGGATATACCTAGAATGTAGTTTACTTAAAGGAGAAATAGGGATTGTCCAAAAAAGTTTTTTAAAGACAAAAGTTTCATGAAGTATTTTCTGTAAATACATAGGCCGTATGATCATAAGACCTTGCTTGATTCTCCAAAAGGAAATTAATGAGATGGTTTTTGGTATCTTGATGTGCTTACATCCTTTGTTGGTGTTTATTTGAGGCTTTTACACACACAGACACACACAAACACTGTTTAATAATGGGACTGGAAAGTATATTGATATCAATACATATAATATATATCAGTAATACGCATGAAAACTTTTTTTTTTTATATGGAGTCTGTGGCCCAGGCCTGGAGTGCAGTGGCACGATCTCGGCTCACTGCAAGCTCCGCCTCCCGGGTTCACGCCATTCTCCTGCCTCAGCCTCCCGAGTAGCTGGGACTACAGGCGCTGCCACCACGCCCGGCTAATTTTTTTGTATTTTTGGTAGAGACGGCGTTTCACTGTGTTCGCCAGGATGGTCTCGATCTCCTGACCTCGTGATCCATGCGCCTCGGCCTCCCAAAGTGCTGAGATTACAGGCGTGAGCCACCGCACCTGGCCTGCATGAAAACATTTTATCAGTGCATAGTTTAAAAGATAAAGAAATAAAAAGTAACTTTGGCCATGTTTTGAAACATATATTGTGAGTCAATGTGAAACTTGCCTTTGTTTTAAATGTTGGTAAGCTAAAGTTGTACAAAGAAAGTTTTAGAATGGGTAAGAGACAATTATCTAAAATTCTCTATCTTTTTTCTCAAAGGAAGAAAATGGAAATATGTTCAGGTAATGAGAAGAAGTTCACATGTTGAGTAGGTAGGGAAGAAAGGAGAAGAAAAAACTATCTCCCTATATTAACAGTATTATAAGTTTTCTGTCTTCCTAAAATAAATACGTATTCTACAATGTAGTATATAATTTCCCCAAAGAATAATCTAGCTAACGTTACATTCCATAGAAACATAATTTCTTGTGAAATAGTTTTTTCAGAAATATGAATTATGTTATAAATTAGGAAGCATGTTTACATATCTATGATTTTATTTGGGAGTTTTGTAATTATTTTAAGACAAATTTATTCTCTATTACTCAGTATTGATTATATATCAAATTGCAAGAAAAATCAATGTCTAAAATTTATTAGGCACCTATTTATTTCACACAACTTATATTACTTCTATCTCTCCATTTATCTTTCTATATAAATATTCAGGGTGACTATTATTATTGCCATTTTTCCTGATGAGAAAACTGAAGTTCAGCTATAGTAAGTGACTTGCCAGGCAAAGAACACGGCTACCAAGCTGCTAAAGCTGCATTTTCCACAGTAGCACACACTGTCTCTTAAATCCTTGCAGTTTATTCCCAGAACATTTGCTCAGTAAGACTGTTCTTATTTTATTTTATAATTTTCACAAGCTGTGCTTCCTTTCTGCAAACTATAGGTCAGCAACCATCAGCTAAGCATTAGAGAAGATTCTCATAATATTAGTTGTTGTAAAACTGAGTAACATTACAACAGAAAGATAGAAACAATCAAAATGATCTATTTCAGGTATTACAGGTCTAGATCACAACATGATAATTGTACCGACTACTTCATGAGCAGCAACTATATATCAATCATTATTTTTGACTCTATGTATCTGACCTTCACAAGTCTTTGCAAGTCGTTACAATGACACTGACTCATTAAGAAATAAAGTATGACTGACTTATTTTTCTTTTTTCTTTTTTTTTTTTCTTTTTTTGAGACGGAGTCTCGCTCTGTCGCCCAGGCTGGAGTGCAGTGGCGCAATCTCCGCTCACTGCAAGCTCCGCCTCCCGGGCTCACGCCATTCTCCTGCCTCAGCCTCCTAAGTAGCTGGGACTACAGGCACCCGCCGCCACTCCCGGCTAATTTTTTGTATTTTTAGTAGAGACGGGGTTTCACCGTGTTAGCCAGGATGGTCTAGATCTCCTGACCTCGTGATCCGCCTGCCTCGGCCTCTCAAACTGCTGAGATTACAGGAGTGAGCCACCGCGCCTGGCCAAGTATGACTTATTTTTCATTCTTAGGAAGACAACAGTGTCTCTTGTATTGGGCTAATAGTCCTGACTCAACCTCGCACAACTTTCCGTTCTAAATTTAACGAAGGTATAGAAAAACATAGAAATTGTTATAGAAGACATAAAAAAGGAAAAGCATAAAAATTAAGACTGACAGTCAACATATGGCCAAAGTCTTGAAGGACTGTCAATTAGTTAAAACATTGAAATATCTAGAATAAAAAATACTAGCAATGACAACAACAATGGTGCGCCCAAAGTAACCTTTCGTGGACATGGAGGAAATCTGCTTGCTGGAAAGTTAGTCAGAAGGCCTGGAGTGGCCCTTTGGTGAAAAAAATTGCACATCAACCATAAAAGTTAAGTAACTAATTCTATATGGATGTCCTTTTGCTCTTCCCGTATCTTGCTAATGATTGAAACTCACTGAAATAAATTGGACAAAGGTATCTAGTGAATAATACTGGAAATTTGCAAAACTACCATTTAATTCTCATTATTCACATTTATTCTACATTATCCTATTTTAATGATCATTCATAATCACTCAAATGTACACAATATATTAAGACAAAAAGAACACAGATGATTCATTATTAAACTTTTAAAATAAAAAGTATCTCAAATGCATTAAATGAAAAGGAAACATTTAGAAATATTTACTGTTTTCTGGAAATGAGAATTGTGTAGCACTGTGATTCCACATAAGCAATGTTTATAAACTTTTTAATAATATGATATGAAACTTAAATGATTTAAAGTTAGGTACACAGAAATACAAGAGCCCTCACCTAGACCAGTGTATATGTCCCTGAATATCTCTGGGGATTTTATGTTCATAGAGAACAAAGTAGGGACTTCAATTGGGACATTAGAACTATACATCACGGTAGTCTAGTGACCCATTTGCGACTGGGATAGATCACTCCCAGTGGCCTGAAATCACAACAGGTCAACGCATTGTCTTTGCCTTTTCTGACCCAAAGCCCAAACTCTAATCTCATTCTTTCTTATTTTATTTATTCTTTTATTAGTATTTTAAACTGTCATATTAACTGTACATATTTGTGGGGTACAATCTAATATTTTTGATATGTGTGTACACCATGTAATGATCAAATCAGGGTAATTAGCACATATATCACTTCAAAGGTTTATTATTTATTTGTGTTGAGGACATTCAAAAACTGCTCTTCTAGCTATTTGAAAATATACAACAAATTGTTGTTTATTATGGCCACCCTATGGTGCAATAGAACTCTACAGCTTATTTCTGCTATCTAGGTGTACTTTTCTATCGATTAAAGAGCCTTTGGCTACCCATGCCACCATCTATCACTCCTACCAGTAACTTCTGTTCTGGTTCTACTTCCAAGAGATCAACATTTTTAGCTTCTACATATAAGTGAGAAATCTTATACATTGTTATTGGGAATGGAAATTAATACAGCCCCTAGGGTAGAAAGTATTGAGGTTCCTTAAAAAACTAAAAATAAGACAGGTGCGGTGGCTCACGCTCGTAATCCCAGCACTTTGGTAGGCCGAGGTGGGGGGATCACAAGGTTAAGAGATCGAGACCATCCTGGCCAACATGGTGAAACCCTGTCTCTACTAAAAATACAAAAATTACCTGGGCGTTGTGGCACGTGTCTGTAGTCCCAGCTACTTGGGAGGCTGAGGCAGGAGAATCGCTTGAACCCAGGAGGCAGAAGTTGCAGTGAGCCAAGAGCACGCCACTGCACTCCAGCCTGGGCGACAGAGTGAGACGCCGTCTCAAAAGAAAAAAAAAAAAAAACAACTAAAAATAGATCTAATATATGATCCAATAATCCTGCTACTGGGTGTATATCCAAAGGAAAGATAATCTGTACATCAAAGAGACATCAGCACTCTCATGTTTATTGCAGCACTGTTCACAATAGCAGAAATACAGAATTAATCTCACACTTTAATATTTTAATGCCATCAAATGTAAGATACTGTTAATGAGACATCAGTTTATGTCCAACTAAGAAAGAAAAACTGACAATTAAATACAATAAAACTTTAAGAAACTCTGATTTTGGGAACATTACAACATAAAATATATATATCTTAGAGTCAAAGAAATATAATATTTCCATTAATAAAGCACATTGGCTTATGAAAAGAAGCAGAGAACAAGAACAAGAACTTCAGTACAAGAATAATGCTGGGTGGGCCGGGCACGGTGGCTCATGCCTGTAATCCCAACATTTTGGGAGGCCGAGGCAGGCAGATCACCTATGGTCAGGAGTTCAAGGCCAGCCTGGCCAACATGGTGAAACCCCCATCTCTGCTAAAAATATAAAAATTAACCAGGCGTGGTGGTGGGTGCCTGTAATCCCAACTACTTGAGAGGCCAAGGCACAAGAATTGCTTGAACCCAGGAGGCAGTGGTTGCAGTGAGCCAAGATCATGCCATTGTACTCCAGCCTGGGTGACAAGGCAAGACCCTGTCTCAAAATAGAATAAAATAAAATAAAAATGAAAAAGAATAATGATGAGTGAAAAGACTATGTTATGGAGATCAACGCTCCACTGAAGTTAAAGTGTAGACAAACTGAAAAAATTGTAAGGAAGCAAAGGCAGCCATCATTTGGATTATATTACTCATTTAATTTCTTAATGCAGTGTCTTTAAAAGTAAATGAAGTACCATTAACAAGGAATTGCTTGTTCATTTTCTTCTTAAAAGCACAATTTCAAATGTTGAAATTGCAAAGTAAGAATTTAAAATCCAACGCATGGTGGTGAAAGATTCTCCTGGAAATGCCTTATCAGATTATGTTCTAGATCCTGTTTTTGAGACTAAAACGTGGAGTTTTGCATCAAAGAACTTCTCTTACCAGGACCCTTTCTTCTCAGAAGGGCGATGAGAATGAGCAAATGGTACAGAACAGGAGGAAAGTAGCAGAGATTTTTAGTACCATAATTCAGGTGAACTGAATAGCAAAGTTGGTGGGGCTTCATGAAAGGAAGCTGGCACCAAATGGGAATGGAGTTTAAGGGGTTAAACTAGCTATCTAAAACCAACTTGAAGTATATTCTAAATGGAGACCTTGAGAGGTATAAAAGGGTTCAAATAAATGAGGATTACATGGCAGCAGGAATTTCCAAACAGCAGGAAAACTTTTTACCCTTTGGGACATAAATATTCCCACTTCAACTCTCCTTCTTAAGAGCATCACCCAGCTAAGGTGCTTTTGTTATATGGGTGACGTATGCCTCCTTAGAAGAGCAAAGATGAAAAAAACCAAAGAAAGATATCGGAGAAGTCATAAGTCCTTGGAGGAGATTCAGTGTAACTCAAGAAGTGAAGGCCAAACCTGGTCGTGGAGATTAAGCGGATAGAGTTTACAATTTACTGGTTAATTCCTGGGTCCCTGCCAGCTCCAGTATTTTAGGTCCATTAGATGTTGGACTTACAGAAGCGAGGACACTCATATTGCAATGAGTCTGAGCCTCTTGATATATGGAATACATTTGTTTGTTTTCTTAGCAGCCTGAGGGGAAAAAAGGAGGATGCAGAGAAAAATTGGAGGAACTGGGGAAGGCATGGTCTGTCACAGCTGTGATTATATTATCCGTGATCCCACACAATTCTTGTCTTTATTATGCTTCTAATACATAAAAGACTCTCGGAGGCAACATGATGAAAGTGAGTAGGGACAGAGACAAGCATACAAGACGAAGAAACCATTTCCCACAGATTGGGTTCTGTCTGTGTGCTCCATCACTAGCTAGCTCATCTTTTATAAGCTATTGCCACTCTCAACCTTACGCTTCTCTTAAAATGGATACATCCAGGGATAATTTACAGCATTATGAGGATAAAAAAACACAAATAATTATACGTGGGCTCAAAGGGAAAATCAATATATGGAGTCTGTGATTAAAGAATGTGAGAGACTGTTAAATGAGTGAATGCATTTCATGTAGCTTCACACAAAAGAGCTTTTTTCTCAGATGGAGAAAACTAAATGGAGAGAGTAAATACATTTATAAAACTTATATGTTAGAAGTGTCAGAAAATCCCACTCAAGCTATCTGCACTGTAAAGGGAAATTGATCCAAATAATAAAAAAGTCTAGTGTTTAAATGGCTTGTCTAATAACCAGATCCAGCTGCCTCAAGCACGTTGCATGAGCCTGTTTTTTGTTTGGTTGTTTTTCGTTTTTCCTATTTCTCTAATTTTCTCTATGCTGGCTTATCTGCTCTGCACATTCTCTCTACAGAGTGGAAACAAAAAAACTCCCCAGAAGGGGCTGGCCACAATGGCTTACGCCTGTTATCTCAGCACTTTGAGAAGCTAAGGCGGGCAGATCACTTGAGGCCATGAGTTCAAGACCTGCCTGGTCCAACCCGTCTCTATTAAAGATACAAAAATTAGCCAGATATGGTGGCACAGGCCTGCAATCCCAGCTACTCAGGAGGCTGAGACTTGAGACATGAGAATTGCTTGAGCTGGGGAGGTGGAGCTTGCAGTGAGCCGAGATGGCACCACTGTACTCCAGTCTGGGTGATAGGGCAGGACTCTGTCTCAAAAAAAAAAAAAATAACTCTCCAAAAGTGTAGTTCTGACTGCATCTCATAGCTTGGTGTTTGTGGATAAGAGATGTTCTCTATCCCAGGTTCCAAATCAATTCCTGGGTAAGGGTCTATGTTTGGCCTCGGTGGTGAACATGTGACCCAACTGAGCCATTCTCTGTCTGCATAAGGGTGACATGTTCTCAAAGCTGCTGTGTACAGTTGTGTGAGTGTTTCCTGTACAAGATGCTGGCCCTGGAAAGAATGAACCCTGAAAACCAACCCACATGCCCATTGACAAGATAATAATCCCAGTGAGGGCTCCCTTGTCTTATTTTCAGAAAAGCATCATCTCAATGACAAGCCCCTAAGCCTATGAGGCCGTAGCTTCCCAGAGGTAAATCAATCTTTTATTTTATTTTTCTACAACCTTTATTTTAGGTTCAGAGGATTCGTGGGCAGGTGTTTTTACATGGGTAAATTGTGTGTTGCTGAGCTTTTATATATGAATAATCCTGTTACCCAGGTAATGAGCATGGTACCTGAGAGGTAGTTTTTCAACCCTTGCTGCCTCCTCTTCCTCCCCCGAGTGGTCCCCAGTGTCTATTGTTTCCTTCTTTGTGTCCATGTGTACTTCACTGTTTAGCTACTGCTCATAAGTGAGAACATGCAGTATTTGGTTTCCTGTCCCTGTGTTGATTTGTTTAGGATAATGGCCTCCAGCTGCATCCACGTTTCTGCAAAGGACATGATTTCATTCTTTTTAATGGATGTGTAGTGTTTCATGGTATATATTACCATATTTCTTTACCTAGTCTATCATTGCTGGCCATCTAAGTTGATTCCATGTATTTGCTACTGTGATAGTGCATGCATGTGTCCTTATGGTAGAATTATCTCTATTCCTTTGAGTATATACCCAATAATGGAAATGCTGGGTCAAATGGTAGTTCTGTTTTAAATTATTTGAGAAATCTCCAGACTTATTTACACAGTGCTTGAATTAAGTTACATTCCCACAAACAGAATATAAGTGTTCCTTTTCTCTGCATCCTCGCCAGCATCTGTTTTTTGACTTTTTAGTAATAGCCATTCTGACTGCTATGAGATGGTGTCTCATTGTGGTTTTGATTTGCATTTATCTAATGATTTAATTCACACAAACTATTGCTTTAGGTTAACTGCACCTTTGAGACCTCTGATGGGTCAGTTTAATTCCCCACTTTCCACTGGAGCCACTTGATTGATAGCCCCATTGCAATCAGAAGAAATGGAGGAAGGTCCGTTTTAAAGCAAGTTAGGCTGTGAAAATAAAGAGTAAGTCACAGACATACCAGCAGCATTATGGCTGTGAATGACCTCAGCAGAGGGATTCCTTCACTTCCCTTGGGAAGCTTTTCAGTAGAGAATGGCTCTCAGAAAGTTACGAATTGTAGTTGTCTATTATGTGACTTACATTGCATTACATTGCAATATGTCATTGTGAGATGTGACATAGTATAATGTAAGTGACAGACAGCTAAAATTTTACAGCAGGAAAACTTTTTTTTATATCAAGATCTGCTATCAAATTTGATAGCAGCTATCAATCCATTTTTCCCTACAGATAGATCAAAATTTGATGTTCATGAAAAGTAGGTCATTTGAAACATCCGCAAACACTTCAATGCCTGCACAACTCGGTTATCATAAATCAGTTAAAAAAACTCTAAAAACTGTATCCATCTTTACTCAAATTCTGGTTTTGCATTCTAAGACAAGAGTAATATTGTTTTAGACTGTGAGTTTAGTTTTCTTCTAGATATTACTAAGAATTGATGATCAAATAAGTTATTTCAGTGCCCAAATCACATCAGTGGGTTCTCAACTGGGAGTGATTTTGCAGTTCAGGAGATATTTGACAGTGTCTGGAATTGTCACATCTAGGAAAGGGGTGGGCAGTTACTGGCATCTAGGGATTAGAGACCAGGTAAACATCCTATGGTGCTCAGGACAGAATCTGCAGGGTTGTTCTGCCCAATGTCTTCACAAGGCCTCAGATCAAGGGATTATTACTAAACGAATTGACCCAAATAAGGTCATGAACTAGTTGAAAGGTGGCCCAAGTAAAACTGATAAATCTAGAATTGATTCTCTTCCATTTACCCAATCTTCAAGACAGGCTATGGCAATGTGTTAAGTAAATATTCAGCTACATTTGGGGGGCTTATGGGACAGTTAACTGAATCTCTTTGCACATCAAAATTGACTGGGGACTTTACCTACTGACAGCCTTATAGCAGAGCCTATAAGGAGAAGAAAGTAGGAGAAACTAGGGTCTAATTCTATCTCAGTCAAAGTCAATCTTTGAGAAATGGTTTCCCCTCTCGGACTCCAATGGTTCCATTCACATTATGGGAATTTGTGTACAGCAGAAGTATTCCACTAAAAAAAAAAGAAGAAGAAGAAGGCCGGGCATGGTGGCTCATGCCTATAATCCCAGCACTTTGAGGGGCTGAGGCGGGGGATCACGCGGTCAGGAGTTCGAGACCAGCCTGGCCAATATGGTGAAACCCTGTCTCTACTAAAAATACAAAAATTAGCCAGGCGTGGTGGCGCATGCCTGTAGTCCCAGCTACTCGGGAGGCTGAGGCAGGAGAATCACGTGAACCCAGGAGGTGGAGGTTGCAGTGAGCCGAGATCACACCTCTGCACTCCAGCCTGGGTGACAGAGCGAGACTCTGTCTCAAAACCACCACCACCACCACCACCACCACCAACAGCAACAACAAAGGTAATAGAGATGTTTGTTTATTAAGCTATACTTTTAAATGTTTCCTAATTATTATAGAACACAGAGACACAAAACTTCTGTGATTGAAACAGAACCAGAGGCAGGATCAGAAGCTCTGTCTATATCCCATCACCCTATCTTACCCCCATACGACAAAACCTCATCACCCCATATGACCAAACCTCATCATTCCCAATATGACCGAAGCCCATCAGCCTCATATAACCAAACCCTATTACTCCTAATATGACCAAACCCCATCACCCCCAATATGACTAAACTCCATCACCCCAATATGACTAAACTCCATCATCCCCATTATGACTATCCAAGACAGTTTGAAAACTGATGATGTAAAATGCTCCAAGTATAAATTCATCTAAAATTATAAATCATGCTAGGGAAAGATACTGGAGTGGTAATATTGCTCATAATAGAACTCACTACAGAGTATGACACCTTCCCCAACCTTCCACTTTCCTTCTAGAAAAGCACTTCTGAGGACAAGACAAACAAATCCATTGTTAGTGTTTATAAATATCTGCCAAAGAACTCTCAATATCTAGGATTTCCCTTTGCCAAGATGCAGTGTGGCACCAGTAAAACAAACAAACAAAAGTCAATTTTAGATTATGATCGATCAAAATAGGATTCCTCACTCTGCCACTTTCTAATTCTGTGTGTACGTGCCCATGATTTAAAGTCCTAGTGCCTCTGTTGCTTCATTTGTGAGGTGGGGTTAGTAATGCCTATCATAAAAATGATTTTAAGGATTATATATGATAATGAGGTAAAGCATTTACCACAGAGCCTGTTGCATAATATAGCTATCATGTATTGACTGCTTAGTATTACAACTGGAAGAATTAGAGATAATGCCTGCAAAGGGCCTGACATGTACAAGTTGGTCCATATATAGTAGCTGCTGTTATTATGTAGCTAGATCAGAACTCCCAAGCAGAAAAACTCCTAGAAACATTTATAAAATGAAGGTGGTTTAATTTTACTTTCTTGCATCATACCTCATTTACCTCTTTCTCTTCTTTATGTCTGTCTCTGGGATCTCAGGGCCCCACACTGGCATGAAATAAAGGTGTTTTTTATGCATAACTCATATGATAATAATAACAACAACAAGATTTTACTGTCTCCTATCCCTTTATGGGAGTACACTATGCAATACCTCTATGAGGTGCCATCTTAAATTGTTTAGATGTACCATCTTAAATGGTTTACCCTTAGCAAAGGGCACCTACACCTTTGATTTTATCTTTTCCTGTGCTAAGAGTGCACAAACTTTTCTTATACAGAGTCAGGAAAGGCTTTGGGGTCCTATATCTTCTCTGTCACATTTACTCAAATGTGTCTTTCTAGGGAGAAGGCATCCAATAAACAATATGTAAACCAAGGAGCATAGTTCTGCTTCAACAAAACCTTCTCTGTACAAAAGCAAAAGGCAGACTAGATTTGCTCCATGGGTCATAGTTTGCTCTTCTCCCCAAACTAGTTTATACTTTGAGAATCCCTTATCATATTGAAAGACAAGAACTGAAGGAAATACTTTTATTTTTTAACCCGGTAAGCCCTATTTTTTAAATTCCATTAAATTATGATGATAAAATTAGTAATTTTTGTTGCCATTGTTTTGTTTTAGCTCTCTGTCTCTGCACATTATTATGAGTTATTAAAATAAGTCAGTTAACACTTTCAACATCTTGTCTGGAAAATATCCTGCCAATATCCACAAATTTATTTTGTGTGTTTTTTAAATTAATTTGTCATGTTATCGTAGGCACTTTACCAATTGTTTTGCTACTCTATGACTCAGTTGACCACTTTGCCAGTTTGCTATGGCAGTTTTGTCACCATTATACTACATTATACTAACTAAGAAGCTAATAGTTTCCCTGCTGCTTTTCCAGCATTTGCTCAAAGCTTCCTGACCTCCCAAAGTCAATCTTACATATTTTAGACTTTAACCCATCTACTCACCGAAGATTAGTTTTCTCCAGAGAAAAACAGATAAAAGCATTCTGCAAAGTAATAGAAATCCACTGTTCTTGTTTTGGGAGAGGGCCTTCTACAGACTTTCATTAATATTATTTAGCCTGTTATGACAGGGGAAATCTCAAGGAAAATAAGACCTATTCTCCTTCAATGAAAACAAACAAATGAAAAAAAAAAAACCCACAACTCTCTTTTAGCTGGTGACATCAGGACAAATCTCAACACATACATACACACATACACAGATAAACACACATGCTTTTGGTGTGTATGTGTGTAGAAAAGCTCCAGCAGTCTCAGCAAAGTATATGCATACTCTTTTCATACTCCCTGAAGAGGGAAATTTTAAAAAATAGCAATATAATAGACATTTTTATACAGCTAGATCTGCAGGAAGAAATGCGTCAAACTGCAATAATGACGCGTAGCAAGAGTGACTAAAAGAAGTATCCAGTGGTCAGGTTCACAGGCAACCACAGACAGAGGTAAAAATCTCTGATGGGAGAATCTTTACAAAATTGGTCATCACGTTTGCATTAGGGCATTGAAATTCATGTCAGCAGAGTGACTCTCATAAAAACATTGTATTTTTTCTCTAGATAGATAAACTTTCATCACAAATTCCCTGGTTGTGTCCCCGTTCATGCCAGTTGTTCTAGCATTATGGTTGGTAATAATGGCACTTTTATTCCCAAAGTATTTGGATGATAAATTATATGGGTACCCAACCCTTAGGCTACATCTGCTTCCTTAACATAGAAAATCACTGACTTTCTCACATATTAATAATTTTCAGGTGGATAATGATGTATTTCCCCTGCATATCACATTATTAATGTCTAAATAGGAAAAAATTCAGCAGCTGTCAATGTCTAATAAGTTGATCACAGTGGCCAGGAAATGTTGATGGAATGGTTAAATACATAAAAGTCGTGCATTATTATTACTGCTGTTCAGTGTATTTTCAGTGTTTGAGCCAAGTACTACAAAAGCTGCCTTGTATACTTTTTTTTTTTAACCTTTTATTCATCTGTTCAGGTACATTTAACAAGAGTGAACTGTGTTCCTGTGGCTTACGAGAAAGAGGTACTGTGACAAATAGGGGGGATGTGGATTAACGTTATGATCCACCTCTTCATCAACAATCCTACTAAAGATCGTACTCCACCCCCAAATCATTGATTTGCTTGTCTAAAGTCCGAGGTTCTCAAAGGGCACAATAAGTTCCCAGACAAATGGATCTCAAGCAGATTGGGTGACAGAGGCACAATGAAGAATTTTAGGAGATTGAGACCTCTCAGCTGGTGTTATAGGGATAATGAGATGGAGGCAATAAAAATTTAGTGGCACTCTAATGCAAGAAAACAAACTGAGGAAAAAAAAAAAGATAATGCACATGTATGCAAACCACAGAGCTTGATAGTGCAAATAGGTAAAATCAGTGCAGCAATGGCCTAGGCATACCCAAAATGAGTATGATCCTTTACCTTAGTAGAAGCCTTGAGAGTAGAAAAGCAATAATTAAGACAATGAGAGGGACAATAATAGCGTGTAAATAGAACACAGAGAAGGAACTCTGATAATCAGTTTCTGAAGGAAGTTAACCTGGACTGACTTCTCAAGGTGTGTGCGGCAAACAAAGGTGCATGATTTATCTAGGTAAGGGAAAACAGGCCTTTTCGAAGATAATGGGAGCAGCTTGGCTAGACAGCCAGATATACAAGGAGAATTGGTTGGTACTAGTAGACTATAAAGTGAGGAGCAGCCTGGCATCAATATCTAAAAGTGAGGCTGGAGAGAAACTCAGGGAGATTTTGAGTAATTGCAGAGCTGAGGTTGAAAAATGAGTAGAACAACATGGAGGTAATTCTTAAAATGATTTTGTAGACTGCAATCAGCCTTGAGGGAGGAGTCACCCACGTATGATTAACTATACTTGTTAGGAAAAATGTTTCAAAGATTTCAATTATGAGTTATATAAATATATTCATCATATCCCTGCATTTTCTTATATTGGATAATGCTCTTGGAGCCAACATATGGTTCTGCTAATAAACGTGTTACCTGGCACAGGAAAAAGAAAATAAACAACAACAACAACAACAACAAAGACCAGAAAGCTGAGAGATTTATTTCAAAAGTTTAATCAATAGCTACTATAATATAAAGGTATGTGTGCTTATCAAAAGTGTACAAATATTTCACAACTCTCACTTCTGCAAATTCTGACCAAACCCTGAAGATCTTATCATGCATATTGATACAAATGATATTCCTTAAAACCTCATTTTTCTCATGTGAAATAGTAGAGCTTATATAGATGGAAAAGACCATTATAGAATCAACAATGTGTGAGAAAACACATTTAGCAAGAGGGTTTATAACTTGCCACCACTCTGCCCAGTTATTCTACGGTTTCAGAAAGCCAGTAGTGACAGAATTGCAACAAGGATCAATAATGCATCTATTCAAGCCAAGAAATAGAGGAATTATTAACCTTTAGAATCTATCTTTAGACCTCCTTCTCAACAATGCCCTCAAGAGTCAGCAGGCTACTTCAGAGATGCTCTTGACCCAGGCAGCTTCATCATTTTTAAAACATAAATATTGCATTGCCAAAATACCAGTATAAATCCCCTAGGACTCACTATTCAACATATGTTCAACACACTTCCTTGCTCCTACACATTTTGAAGTATGTCAACTTTTATGGAATTGTGGTATGAATGTAGACGTAGACAATCACAGTGTAACTGGTTAACTGAGGTGAAATTGGAAAAGGAAAGACAGTCTAAATCAGTGGCTTTTAGAACATGGTCAGACTGTTGTATCCTACCTATAACATATATTAGTGATGTAACCTTGAGCAAAGTAGTTGAACTCTCTAAAACTCAAGTCTTTATCTGAAAAAAAAATGTATTAGTAAAACCATCCTCATAGTATTATTATGATTTATGTTTAAATCTTCAGAAAGATTGAATAAATGTTTTCTTGTACCAAATATCTGGCTATTCTTATCATCACTGAAGAAAAATAAAGATTCTGCAATCATAATGAACACATAGTAAGTATTGCATCTTGGCTTACAAAACGATGGTTTCACTTTTCCTGACCCTTTTGTTTCCCAACAAATATCTTTGAGCTCATATTATTGTTATCCTCATTTTAAAGCTGTAGAATTTAAGACATGGTGAGGTTGAGGCTAAATGATTGCCCTGAAGTCACAAAGCTAAGGAGGGGTAATCAAGTGGCAGAAGTAGTATTCACAGTCTGTATGTGCCTGGGTGTGGCTGGAGCAACTTAGAAGAGAAAGTTGGGTTTGGGGTAGAGTTTGGCTGACACTAATTGAGTGCCTCTTATGGGCCAGGTACTTTAAGCATCTTATCTCATTTTAGCCTATGACAACCCTACAAAAGAGGTATTATTGTTCCATCTTACATGTGTAAATACCTGAGTGATTGCGAGAGATCTTTTCCAAGATGACAGAAGAGCTAAATTCAAACTGGAATCATTTTGATTCTAAAGCTCTTAGTATGTCATTGTAGAATCTTGTTTTGTGTAACAGAGAGAAGGACAGTTTCTTAAACTGTGAAATGAAATAAAGGACCATACTTGCTCATTTTGGAACAAGCTGGAAGTCTATGTTTTAATGAAGTTCTCATTTCCTGCTCTTCCTTATGTTTCTAATCTTTTGGGTTCTATACTTTAGGCTGTTAAGGATTACAGATATTTGAAATGTGTTGCTTGGTGGTGAAATAGGTGGTTAATGCCTGGATTTAAAAGTAAACATAAGCTCTGTAAAGGTAATCCTTTCACTGAGCAAACCTCCCAAACCTTCTCACAGTGCTTTGGTTGAAAAATGTTTAGGCATACAATGACTTCGAGATTTTTTATTCCATTGAAAACATCGCTTTGAAGATCATAAAGACCACTAGAACTGATGTTGTAGTTGACCTATATGCTAAAGGCAGAAAGAGGGAAATCACTTTATAAATAGGGTGTGTTTCCCTTGTCCATCTACCTGAGGTCTCTCAGTAGACGACATCCCTTGCCTGAGGATAGAATGGCAGGGAATTTAAGCTCTTTGAATCTTCATATCCCCACTGGGATATGATCCATCTCAGTGGGGTAATTCTGCAGAAACTCAAACCACATGAGGATACTAACACCTTCAGAGCTCAGACTGCTGCATTTGGGATTATTGTAGACAGTAAGTACATTTCATTTCTTCCAAATACTCAACACCCCACACTACACGAAAAAGGAAGCACTCATAAAAAGGGCAAAACTCCTCCTCTAACTTAATTGAAAACAAATTGCTTTGCAGGCAAGTCTGGGCCCTGGGGGAGGTTAGCATATGGAAACAATTGCCACCGTACATATCTTAAGTCCTTATATCTATAGGTAAAGAAAGCCGGTGTCCTTCATTAAAGTTTCCAAGGGCTATGTGCCCATATGGTTACATATTTGGTTTGTGTCAGAGTTGAAATAACAGAATGTAAATTAGCTGCTCAGGCAGGGAGGTGGGTATGGAAGGGTAGAGCTAACACTGGCAGGTGACACAATGAAAGGAATTAGAGAGAACACAAACGTGTGGGTTTCCCCTTCCTTCTCCCTCTAAAAGTACAGCATATTGGAAAAGTTACTACTGGGAAGAAAGACTTCAAAGTTGTTTAGAACATAAATTCTGGATGCAGAGAGAAATAAATCAGAGTCCTTTTAGGTCAGGTTACGAGATGAGTTATTTCACTGCTTTCACTTTTAGTATTCTGATTTGCCAACGGATGCTGATGACTTTCCTCACCTTTAAGAGGTGGGAACTGATTGAAATCGTGATGATAAAAATGAATGCAATAATATATAAATGAGATAAAGCTTAGAAAAGACTCACTACAATTCTTAGCTTACAGATGCTATGCAATCAAAATAGCTAGAAATTACGTAGGTTAAATCTGTTATTTTCTTCATTTTCAAGATAAAACTGAAGCACATAAGGATTAAGCAACTTGCCCAGGGCACTTAGTGGATAGATGGAAAACCAGATTTAAACCCGAAAAGTCTGACTCCAGAAAGCACAATTAAAAATATTGTGTTAATAGGTGTTTCTTATAGCAGATTAGGATAATTACTTCTGGCAGGAAGGTTTGTGTGAGGGCTGAAGGCGTTGTTAGTATCATCTTGTAGTATATTTAAATTGATAGCATCCTCTTCATGACAGGCATCAAGACCTTTATAATATCCATTAAATTGAAGACACTAGGCTGTGGCATCAGGAAACCTAGGTGCCCAGAGTGCTGCTAAAGAACAGAATGGCTTTTAGAAAAGTAGTTAGACTATCTGAGCCTCAGTGTCCTGGTCTACAAAACGGGTATGTGATTATTATGTCCTCATCTAAAGTTAAGATTACTGGATAAAATCTGTATGTGTACAGTACATATTAAGTAAAGAATTGACTCTTATGTACTTTATGAACTTTGTGACCGATTTTTTTTTGGCTTAGAAGTGGGATCAGGACTGAACATTGCCACTTTCTTTTACAGTTGTGTTTCTTCCCTTTTTATTGTGGTATTACAGGAAAAAAGGAAGACAAATGAGACTATAATTAATGTATTATAATCCAGGCATACTGTTCAATGGTTCATTTAATCCATCACAACCTTTAAGGAAAGTATCAACATAATTTTAAAGTTTACAGTACCGTAGTAAAGGATATTATATAATTTGCATACAGTTGTATGATTAAGAATTTGGAGAATTGGTCTATAGAACCCTTTTTAAACCCTATGGTTGCTGCTTTCTTAAAAAATATCTAGTTGCTGTAATGAACTATTTATTTTTCTGTTGTTTCAAAAGCTACTTTTTAAGCACAGCTTCTGCTTTCAAACCTCAAAAGGACACATACAAGATGCAGAAATGTCCTTCTAATTTCCAAACACATACTGCTAACCTAAAATGCATTCACTCAAATAAATATAAAGAAACACAAAACCCAGCTCTGTCAGGGTTTCTAGCTGCAAGACTTCCAATTAAAAATATCTCTTTTTCTTTACCCAAGTAGCATTTCCAACATAGATAACAATTTCACTGCAACATCTTTAATACCATTAATGATTTGATCTTTCTGCAGAGAACTTAAAAGCCTGTAGAAGACAGCGACAGACCCGGGGTAGGTAGGTGGAAGGTTACACAGCAGGAATATCTAGTGATCTGAACATATTAAAGAGAGTGCACAGGAATTAAAAGAACCAGATGAGGGGCACTTAAAAAGTACCACTTGAACACAAACCAACTGCTGATTTTTAAAATAAGAACTTTGGAATGAGAAAGTGGATTTTCAATTTCTCTTTGGTTTTATTTTCACAGGCAAAACTAAATGGATAGTTGTGGCAATCAATTCTGGGAACAGTGCCCTGTATAGCGTAGGTGACTACGAAATTTGAAAAATCAATAATTCAGGCAAAAAAATCATGCTGCTATGAAAATAGAGTAAGAAGATTGGAGGTATTCCTGGACGAATATTGATCATTATTTGAATAATTTTTCTAAACATTCAGATTATGTTTGTGTGGCTTTACTTTGGTTTTGAGAAATCAGATTCACTGACATAGAAATATCTCAACATGAATAAGACTTTCTGCTTCAGTTACGTATAAGCAAAAACTGGCAACTCCACATTTATCTAAATTTCTTAAATTAGATAACCAATGTGGACCAGAATATTCATCTTTCATTCTGTAAACACCAAAGCCTGAATACAGCCTCAGTGCTAGATTCTAATTAAGTTATTTAAGACAAAGACTCCCGCCCATAAATAAATTTACCATCCAATTCCAATGAACACAGTAGCAATTAATTTAGATTCATTTTCAAGTGGGAGGGCAAGTTGTGCTTTGATTTAGAGCCACTGATTCTGCCCTAAAACCTGACAATCATCTTCTAAGAAAAGTATGGGTGAAGCAAGTCAAGCTCATTGTCTCTGCAGGAAAGGGTAGTAGTGATGGAAAACACAAAGAAGGCAATAGTAATAAAAATAATGATAATAATAATAAATTGACCTTGCTATGCTGTGCCTGGTCTATGTTAAGCACTTTGCATACCCTATGTCTTCTCATCCTCACTCTTATGTAAAATAACTGATTATTATCTCTATTTTATATACAGGGAAACTGAACTTTCAGTGTTCTAAAAGTTCTTATAGAAACTATACAAAACTTAACAAAAAGCTTCTTCTTTATCTCTTCTCCATGTTGAACTAATCATAGTCATCACCATCTCAGGGCCATTGAAAGTGCTGTTTCCTCTCTCAGCACTCTCTTTTTCCCTTCCCTCTTCCAGATATCTGAATGGTTGATTCATTCATATGCCTCAAATCTGCTCAAATGTCTCCTTTAAAATCAGATCTTCAATGAGCTTGTGTTTCTCTACCCTTCCCCTTAATCCCCAAACTTGCTTTAATTTGCCATTTTTACCTTCAATGATATCACACTGGACAATCTCTTACACCTTGTCATTTTGTTATCCAAACCAACAAAGATGAAATCTGTAGGTTTTTTTTTTTTTTTTCAGACAGGACCCTTTAGAGAAAACAATGCCTTTTCTCCCAACTTCTCTCTATTCTCAATTCTAATTGTATTGACCAAAGATGTACCAAGGAAACAGAAACCATGTTGAATGTTCAAAACAAGAAATTTAATACAAAACAATGGTGACAAAGATGATGGAAGATGCTAAAAACCAAACAGGAAATAGGCGGGTAACTTAAATATTGACAGTAATAGGAAGCTACTCCACTCCTATGCAGAGAGAGAGAAGGAGTAGAATTACTGGAGCCAAGAGTCTGGAGTTAACCAGAAAAGTTAAAATCAAAAGAGGCCAAATTAAAGGAAGGGGAGTTGAATCCATTAATGATGTTCAGCTGCTGCCAGAAATGCCACATAAAGTGGAAAATAAGGGAGATGAATAACTTGGAGTCTTGCCCTCTAAGAATTCCACTGCTTCCCATTAGCTTAACCCAGCCAAGCTCTGGACTACAAAGGAACTGTCAGGTCAGCACCTCCTGCAGTACAGCGCAGAGCACTGGACGGCCAAAAAATGATTCTGAATGCAAGCAGTCAACAATGGGCACAGTCCTAGTAATGTGTTATGTGTCTAGTTGGTGTTAGGGCCCCTTGATATAGACCCAAAATGTAGCGTGAAATTTTTACATAGCATATGCAACAATTATAATTAATGAAATATGTGTTTGATTAATGCTGTTGTTATAATGTTGTTGTTTAACTGTGTCTTCCATCAGATATTAAGCTCTATCTGGATTTTTTCTTGCTATATCTTTTTTATTGCCTAGCCAATAAAAAACTCTCAGGGTTCTTCTTCTCAAGTAATACCTGGTGAATGAATGAATGAGAGTGAATAACACAGGATTTAGCAACATAGTAATTTACACTCACTTTAGCATCGTATTACAATACTTATTTTTCTAGAGGTTTTGATTCTCTTTCTTAACCTAGTCTTCTAGCCTCAGAAAGATAAGAACATACAATTAATCACAAAGTTTTGAAGAAGGTATTATTGCTAGTCTCACAGAACCATCACACATATGATAGCTACAAAATCCCATATATTTGTAAGAGAGTAAGGGGAAAAGGGAATTATCAAGACACAATACCACAATGACAGAACCAATCTCTGAGGAGCACGAAGGGTGCAATGGCGAGCAAATATTGGAGGGAAGGTATCCTCAAAAATGTCTGTGTTCTGTCTTCAACTGGCTTTTCTAGAATTACCAAACATGGGCCCTGCTCTTCCTTCTAGGGTGATGAAGGTGACTGAAATAATGCCTTTCATAGAATCTTTGTTCTGTCTTCAACTGGCCTTTCTAGAAATACCAAACATGGGCCCTGCCCTTCCTCTTAGGGAGATGAAGGTGATTGAAATAATGCCTTTCATAGAGAAATTGCCATTGAGCAACAAGAAGCTCAAATGGATTTCAGAATATTTCCATCTATAAGACTCTTAATGGGAGGGCAGTGAGAAATTTGTGACCATGAACCATCCAAAGATATTAGTGAATACAATGCATGATGAAATAAATAGCATCTAGGGTCAGCCCCTCCAGAAAAAGACTTAATGATACCCAAATGTCCTTTAATACTTTTAAAGAACTCAAATAGTATTTGTTGTAAAGGACCTACCTCTTTCAACAGGCTTGTCAGACAATCCTTAATTGTGACTGGTTAGAGCAAGCCAAAGATACAGAAATTAAAATGTATGCTTCAATGACTTCTACAAGTATGGCACTGTATTAGGGAATCTACACACATTATGTCATCGTATTCTTATTTACAAGTATAAATGCCTCCTTCTAAAGGTCTGTTAATTAAATCATGGGTAACATTTACTGACTTTAGGTTTTGTACCATGTTATATTGCTTATTGTTTATATATGCAGAACTATTTTTAATATTTCTAATAGTCCTATGGGGGGTATCCTATCATTTTATTTTTCAGTTAAGGTAATACTCAAGGAGGTTGAAAATTTTGCCCAACTCTGCAAAGCAGTAAAAAACAAATATGTTATTGGAGGTTATCTATCTAGGTTTTCTTTTAACTTTTACTGTGAAAAATATTGAAAATATAAAAGTAGAAAAAGTGCTTTATTGAACTTCACATACCCTTATTTCAAATATTAAAAATTCTAAACTCATGTCCAAGCTTAATTCATTTATTTTCTCACTGATTTCCTCCACTTGTATTTCTTTGAAGCAAGTCCCAGTTATCATACCATTTACCCATATATTTTAGTGTATTTTATTTAGGTTCTCTGTTGCTGTAACTACTTTTTGTCCTTATAGATGGAATCGTTTTGTGTAGAACTAGTTATTGGTTGGGAATGTTAAAACGAATCACTTAAACCTTCACTTTAAAATGTCACTGGCAAACTGCTGATTCCAGCCTGCACACGGAGGGGCAATTGCTATTCTGTAAATCAAGCAAGATAATTGCAAGTGCTCCATGGCTTCTTGGACAGAACAAGCATTTCCAACAAAACACTTGTAAGCCAAAACACATGTTTTTTTTTTTTCTTAAACTTCTTTATCTTTAAAATGAGGGCTGATGAAGGACAAGAGTAATAATTGAGGAAAAACACCATGGCTGTAGTGAACAGGAGAATTTAATTGGAGATACTATAAGAGGGAATACTAATAATTTTTAAATCCTGAACAATATTCAACTGTGAGACCATGGTAACAAAAGCAACACAAGTATTTAGGCATCATTCCCATTCCCTAGACTGCTGTGGATATTGAGGTTTTGGCAAATGGGTATTTAAAAGTAAGAATGCAGAGTAATTAGCAGAAAATCCACATGTGACATCTCTTGGGATTCTTTTGAAACCAGTTTCACATCTTCTTAGATTTCTATATTTTTCA
Source organism: Homo sapiens (assembly GCF_000001405.40). Taxonomy (NCBI): domain Eukaryota; kingdom Metazoa; phylum Chordata; class Mammalia; order Primates; family Hominidae; genus Homo; species Homo sapiens. The sequence goes on along the minus strand of NC_000016.10, from coordinate 61,682,316 downwards.
TTTCAAATTCTAAAATACAATAAAATTACTATTTTTTCCTAATACATGAACTCCCATTGCATCTGATTACTAAAAATTAATGAGCTATTAAATGCCTAGATAAATTGTTTTCAATCTTCAATGACTTATTATAAAAGGAAAATGCTATAACTCTACTTGAAACATTGGCTTAGATTTCACTTTTCACAAGGAGAGAAAAAAAGATTGAATATTATCTTTTTTTGTTATAGAAGAGTAAGTTGAACAGCAGGATCTACTTATTGAGTTGTGGGAATGTCTATTTCTTAAAATGTGAAATATCTCAGGGGCTTATCCTTCTGTACTTAGAGAGATTATTTTCCCAGAGATTCAATGAAGGTTTTTAGAGCCTTTGCAAAGCATTATGAATACCGTTAGCATCATCCAGATTACCATACAGGACTCTCCTCAGATGCCAGCTATTGTCAGCATTCAACTCGTGCACAGTATTGCTCAAAGGAACGTTCTGTGGATAAGCTTTAGGATCACGATTTTAGCTTTGCAACTACTCTTCCAATCTTCAAAGGGTTAGAATATGCTGCTTTCCTATGTGAATGCTAATTCAACTGTGACAATATCCTCTTTACTCTCAAAATTTTAAGTAAGATTTTTGAGAAATCATTTACATTCCATAAAATTTGCCCATTTTGTGGTACAATTTAATATTTCACAAATTTAGAAAGCTGTGCAACCATCAGCACCATGTAATCTTAGAACATTTCTATCACCTCAAAAAAAAAAAACCTTCTTGCTCATTTTCAGTCACTTTCTGTTTACACCACGAGCTGCAGACAATAATGAATCTACTTTCTGTCTCTATAAATTTGCCTTTTCTGGGCATTTTAAATAAATGAAATTACACAGTATATGATTTTGTATTTGTCTAATTTCATGTAGAGTAGTGAGTTTGAGGCTCATTCAAGCTGTGGTTTGTATCAGGACCTTGTTTCTTATTATTGCCAAATAGTATTGCATTGTGTGGATAGGCTATGTTTTGTTTATTCATGCAGCAGCTGATGGACATTTGGATTGTTCTTACATTTTGGTGACTGTGAATAATGCTTCTATAAACACTTGTGGGCAGGTGTTTATGTGGACATATTTTCATTTATCTTGCATAGATAGCTCAGAGTGAAATGGCTGGGTCATATAGTAAAGATAAGTTTAATATTTTAAGAAACTACCAAAGTGTTTTCCAAAGTGACTACCCCATTGTACATCCTTGAAAGCAATGTAAGAGTGATCCAATTTCTCCCTGTCTCCACAAACAACTTTTACGGTCCTTTTTTTAAATATATATAAAAAACTATTATAGTCATTCCAGTAGGTGTAAAGGGATATCTTGTAGTTTCTAATTTGCATTGGTGTAATGAATTTCTAATGCCCTTTGCCCTGTACTAAATATTATGCCCAGCTTGGCACATTTATTTGTTCTTTCAGCCACAAATATTTATTAATATACAGCTTTGTCTTAGGTGCTATATTAGGTGCAGAATCTACAAAGGATAATAAGCAAATGGTATTAAATCCATGAAATTTAAAACCTTACAGGTTATAACCATGGGATCTATAGTGGCAGAAAACAGATGACTCAAGTAATAAAGTTAATGTTTTAAAATTACATATGTCATAGGTGCCAATTGTGTGTGTGTGTATGTATGTGTGTGTAAAACGAAGGGGAGGGAGCAAGTGATGTTATGCAGATTTATAAGTATTAAAAAAATCCTTGTTCTCATCCACAAGTTCAAGTCCCCCTGAGTAAATAATGATTGAGCTAAGATGTAAAGTATGAGAAGGAATTTACCTACAGAAGGTAAGTAGGGAAAACTGTATTACACAGAAATGGTTGTATTTTCAAAGGAAATAGAGAGGGAAAGAGAACGGCGTGTATTAGAATCGGCATTGGTAGGATGTTCCATGTTATCATAGGTGATTTTCCTAAGTTACCACCTACTACCATCAATCACAAATATGTGTAATCATCTTCAAATGTGGCTTTATTTAATGGACTAGATTGATACGGTTTGCATGAAGCCAGAGAGGAAATGTGACCTGCCAAATATGGTAAGCACTTTGTTTATTAGAGTAATGGACAATCACCGAAGTGTTTTGAAGATGTATGTTTGCCCAAGTTTAAAACAGATCTCAGGATGTAGTGAGGAGAACAGATTTGGGTTGGCAAGAATGACGCAGGGATATGGTTGATGGACTATTATTAGAAACCTCACATGCTTAAGTTTAAAAAATTGTGAAAAGATCACCAGAATTGTTTTCATTCACTTGACAGCTTTTACCTTATCTGAAGACTTATATTCACAGAACACAAAATTCAAAAATTGAATGAATGATATTTGGAGAAGGATATCCATACAATACAATGAGGAACTTTCTAATTCTTTTCGGTTGTTTAACCATGGCATAGACTACAATGAAGCAGTGATCCTTTTATCTTGAGACATATTCAAGAAAACACTGAAGAGTCATTTGGGTAGAATTAGAGTACTTCAGGAATGGAACAAACTAGAGCCATCATCTAGCCAAACATTCCTTCAGATGCCCAATGATTTGTGATTGATTTAATATTTTGATCCCCGCATTAGTACAGTTTCAAAGGAATTTGGATGCCAATGACAAACATATGATTTGAAGATAAACTATTGAATTACATCTTATTTTTTAAATAAACATTGATCATTTGAGATAAAATCTGTCCTCTCTCTTAGTTATTTTGTGACTTTGAACAAATAACAGCCTCTGCCTAAGTCTTGATTTTCAGTTCATTATTACGGGCATGAAAAGATTGCTTTTTACAGAGCACAGTAACTGGTACATGTCTGACAGATGCTAATTGCATGGTCTGCCCAGAAATGCATTCAAAAAAATTGTTCCATTGGTATAATGATAACAACTTAATAACATATGGTAATCATAATTAATTATAATTACAGAATTTTAAATGAAGATTTTCCTGATAATGTCCCATCTCAGAGATTTGACAGTGGATGCAAAAGCTGATTTTGGCTGTGAACTAGTTTAGGTTGTGTAAATATAACAAATCCAACATCCTTGCTCATTGTTCCATTTTTAAAGAATTCATCATAGACTGATTTATGGGGACTTAGGATAACTCTAGCAAGAAAAATGCAACACGAGAAATTGCTTTTATTAAATCTTTAGCCTGGAAATGACGTACGTCACTTCTGTTCACATTTCATTGGCCAAAGCAAATAAGATAACCACACAATTCTAACTTAGAAGGGGCTAAGGGTACAGTCCAACTGTTTCCTTAGAAGGTGAGTCAGATACACTTGCTGAACAGCACTGTTGATGACCATCAGACTCCAAGTTCCAGGTCATGACATTGTCTATGTAAGTATTTCAAAAGTTCAGAACTAAGTCAATGAACATCAGTTTGTAAGTCACAGCTCCTTATGAAAAGTGGTCGAAGATAAAGAAGCCAGTAATAAGGACTGCTTTAAAGGTGCTTAAGATTAGCAGGGGAGGGTATGAGAATATGGCTTCCTACAATTATTTTACCAGTAAGAGAACTCAAAGAGGGTCATTAGAAGGCATTAACATGTGCCAGTATCATGCTATTTTTGTTACTGTAGCCTTGTAGTATAGTTTGAAGTCGGGTAGCATGATACCTCCAGCTTTGTTCTTTTGGTTGATGGGTGCAGCAAACCACCATGGCATGTGTATACCTATGTAACAAACCTGCATGTTCTGCACATGTACCCCAGAACTTAAAGTATAAAAAAAAGAGAAGGTATTAACATGTGCTTTAGGGCGTCAGGGACAAAGGAATTGATATCTGACACAAAAGGAAAACGAAAAGCAAGTGGCTAACCTGGTCTCTATTCTGTGGTAGAGCAAACAGTTAATAGTGTTGAGAGGAAGTTGCAGTTTCATCAGTAGTGTTGATGAAGAGTCAAACTCTGTAAAATATTTGAAGAGACTTATTCTGAGCCAAACATTGGTCATGACCAATGACCCGTGACACAGCCCTCAGGAGATTCTGAGAACATGTGCTCAAGTTGATCAGGGCACAGCCTAGTTTTATACATTTTAGAGAGACATGAGACTTCAATCAAACACATGTAAGATATACATTGTTTCAGGCCAGAAAGGTGGGACAACTTGAAGGGTGTTGGTTGGGGAGCAAGGGGCAGGTGGGAGATTCCAGGTTATAGGTAGATTTTAAATTTTTCTGATTAGCAATTGGATGAAAGGGTTATTAACAATAGAAAGGAACGTCGGGATTACCATAAGAGGTTGTGGAAACCAAAGTTTATCATGCAGATGAAGCCCCAAGGTAGCAGGCTTCAGAGAGAATAGATTGTAAAGGTTTCTTATCAGACTTAAGGTCTGTGTTGACGTTAAATGCTGGTCGACTTTTCCTTAATTCCAAAAGGGAGGAGGGTATGATGAGGCATGTCTGACCCTTCCTTCCCATCATGGCCTGAACCAGACGTTCAGGTTAATTTTGGAGTGCCCTGGCCAACAGGAGGGGTCTATTCAGGTGGTTAGGGGGCTTGTAGTTTTATTTTTTGTTTACAGTAGCAGAACATTTTATATGTTATTATTATATGCAAATGTAGACTGCAGCTGGGACTGGCTGGTATTAGAAGGAAAATAGATAGATGTACTTACATAGAGGCTGAAATTCCAGCCCAACTACATTTCCAAAGCAAATCACGTTTTTGGTTTTCCAAGATTGGGGGTTGTTGCAATTTGTCCTCTCTATGTAATTTTCTGACTGTATAAAGTAGCAGCAAAACATAGGATCATCTTAAAGGAAACCCCAGTCCTAGTAGGGCCAGAGGACCTGGAATGGCAGAAATCTGAGTTGGGGACTTTTTAGGAAAAGCATGGTGTAAAGTAAATGGAGCCCATTTGTATCAAAATAATTAAAGTTGGAGGCTGCCACTGGAAGAGTCTTTGAGGAACATGTGAAAGATGCCAGTAAGGAAAAGTACCAGCAGTATTTTATCTTCCTCACATAGGCCTTCAGTGACAGGTTACAGCTATATCAGCCATACGAGATTATGTCATTTACCTTGATCCCTGTGTTTTCTGGGAAAGACGATGAAGAGATCAGAATCAGATACAGCAGATACTGGAATGAAAGAGAAAAATCGAGGAATGGAGCGAGAAGACAAAAACATACCCCAATTTTCCAGGCTATCTTCCAGACCTGAAGGAAAACCAAGCTTGTGGAAGGCAGATGTTTTAAATTTAACACATTGGAAGGTTTATAAAAAGCCATCTTTTTTTGTGGTATAGTTGACTTACAATAAACCTCTTTTCAAGTGCACAGTTCCAAAAGTTTGACAAATGTGTACACTTACGTCACTATTAACAATAATCAAGGTGTAGAATATTTTCGTCACCCTACAAAGTTTTCTTATCTCTCTTTGCAGTCAATCCTTTGCACACATATGGTAGCAAGCAGTGAGGGAATTTGGGGGATGATGGAAATGTTCTACATCTTGATGAGTATTTTTTATTTTTAGGATGACAATGTCAATGAATACAGGCAATTTATGTGTTTCTTTCTAAGCTGTATGTTAAATGAAGGTTGAGAGTACAACCTTGCTTGTTGCTGATGTTTTGGAAAAATATTCAGTCTTTCAAAATTAAGTGTAATATTAACTGAAATTGTTGTGGTTGACCTTTAATTGGTTGAGGAAATCCCCTTCTATTCATAGTTTGCTGAAAAATTTGATCATGAATGAATCTTGAATTTTATCAAATTCATCTCTTGAAATGATCATGTGCTTTTCTACTTTATTCTGTTAATCCATTGATTAATTTTCAGAATTTGAAGAAAAAACAAACTTGTGTTCCTATCAGAAGCACCACTAAGTAATGTTAATATCATTTTTAGTGTCTCTTATTTAATTGACCTTTTCATTATTATGATGGCCCTCTTTATCACTAATATTCATTGTTCTAAGATTTATTTCATTTGATATTAATATAGCCACTTCAGCTTCCTTATGATATTAGTATAACCACCCTAGCATTTTTATTACTAGAATTTTCTAGTTGTATATTTATATATATTTTTTTCTTTTTTGCAATTTTACTTGTTAAATTTTCTTTGTCTTTATAACTTTCCAAGCAAAACGTTGTGGTTTTTTTTTTTTTGAGTGTGTGTGTAGTTTGTATCTTACTAAGTTTTTAAATCTAGTCATGCAATGACTGCCTTTTTATTTGAGGACTTATTCTATTTATTTTTATGTAATATTTGACACTGTTAACTTTAAGTCTACAATTCGTGTTTGCTGGTTCACTCTGTTTTATTTTTTATCTTAAACTGTCTTCTTCAGTATTAAGTGGCTATTTTTGTGCTCAATTTTATGTCTTCTGTCAACTTATTAGTAATAGCTCTTTTATTATTATTAATATTGTCATTAGTCTAAAGTTTATAATATTTGTCTTTAGCTTATCAAACTTTAACTTCAAGTAATATTATACTACTTCACACAGCAATGTAATAATATATTTCTTACAATGTAATAATTTTTCTTCATAGACATCTTTATGCTCTCATCTCATATTTTATTTCTATACATTATAAAGTCATAATTGAGTTATTTTAATTTAATCAGTCAATATGCATTTCTTAAATTTCATAAATGATAACACTATTTTTATTTTTTTTTATTTTTTTTATTTTTTTTATTTTTTTTTATTATACTTTAAGTTTTAGGGTACATGTGCACATTGTGCAGGTTAGTTACATATGTATACATGTGCCATGCTGGTGTGCTGCACCCACTAACTCGTCATCTAGCCTTAGGTATATCTCCCAATGCTATCCCTCCCCCCTCCCCCCACCCCACCACAGTCCCCAGAGTGTGGTATTCCCCTTCATGTGTCCATGTGATCTCATTGTTCAATTCCCACCTATGAGTGAGAATATACGGTGTTTGGTTTTTTGTTCTTGCGATATTTTACTGAGAATGATGATTTCCAATTTCATCCATGTCCCTACAAAGGATATGAACTCATCATTTTTTATGGCTGCATAGTATTCCATGGTGTATATGTGCCACATTTTCTTAATCCAGTCTATCATTGTTGGACATTTGGGAACCACATATTTACCAATTCTGGCACTTTTTGTTTTGTTGTTTAAATTCATGTTTCTAGCTGGAATAATTTGCCTTCAAGATTAATAACTTCCTTTAACCTATTATTCAGTGCAGATCTCTTGGTGACAAAACTTTTCATTTTATTCATTCTTTATTTATCTTCTGCCTCCTCTTTCCCCTTCTGGGACTCTGATTACACGTATATCAGACCACTTGGTATTGTCTCATAGTTTTTTTGTTTTTTTTTTTTTGCTTTCTGTTCATCTCTGTGTTCATGTTCAGATAGTTGCTATTGCAATGTCTTCAAATTCACAGATCTTTTCTTCTGCAGTTCTTTATATGTTGATAAAGCAACCAACTAAAATTTCATTTCAGATATTATTTTATTATTTATATAACATCCATGTGTTTTAAAAGTACATAATCTTCCATTTCTCTTATTGTTTTCTTTTTCTTTAAATACTTGGATGTACATACAACAGTTCCTTTAAAGCTTTGGAGTATCTTATCATCACTGTCATTTCTATATTGGTTTCTATTGACTGACTTTTCTCTTGATTTTAGATAACTTATTTTTGTTTCTTCACATATCTTGAATTTTGTCTGAGTTTTAGACACCACAGCTGTTAACGGTAAGATACCTGGATTTCACTATAGTTCTTATTGCCCCTTGAGTTTGGTAGAAATGAATAGAATTTTAGATCAGTTCTAATCAGTGTGAGGGTTTTTTTTTTTTTTTTGTGAGTTGGAGTCTTGCACTGTCACCTCGGCTGGAGTGCAGTGGCACGATCTCGGCTCACTGTAACCTCTGCCTCCCAGGTTCAAGCAATTCTCCTGCCTCAGCCTCCTGAGTAGCTGGGATTACAGGCACTCACCACCACGCCCAAATAATTTTTTGTATTTTTAGTAGAGATGGAGTTTCACCATGTTGGCCAGGCTGGTCTCGAACTCCTGAACTCATAATATGCCCGCCTTGGCCTCCCAAAGAGGCTTATTTTTAACAACAGGTTTAGGGTAGATCTAGAGTAGCTATTCCCTAGAATTAGTTTCTCTCTACTTTTATGGTGTATCTTTCTTGTTTCTCTGCTGAATGACTTATGTATTAGGTGAGGTCTTTCTGCTTTACATAGTCAAACCTCAAGTGTTTCCAACCCTATGATAGTCACAGTAGTCATTCAACATATATTTCCACAGTTGATATTTTATCCCAGTAGTTGTTCTGGCCAGGCCTCTTGGATTCTCATTCTATATGTGTGTAGCTTGGTAGTCAACCAAAGATTCATGAACCTTATCATATTTCACAAGATCTGTTTTCTGCAGAGTTTCCTCCACTCTAGTATTCACTTTTGCAAATTCCAGCAATTTCACCATTATCAACCCCCTATCTCTGTATCTTCAGCTCAGCAAGACTGTCATCCTCTGTTTGGGCTTTACTTGAGAGTTTTTAAAATACATTGAATTACACTTTTTAAATATTGAAATGTCTCTTGTCACTAAATCTCACTGAAAAAGTGAGAATGTGCCTCAAATTTCTTCCATGGACAAGAAAGAACAAATATAGTATGTGGTTTCTTTCTTGGTAAGAAATGCATGTTTTATGCATGAGTTATACTTATTGTACATATTGAATAAAACATTAAGTACAATAACTAAACAAGAATAATGCAAGTCTAGAACCATGCATCATGGAATATCATGGAATTTGGAAGGGGAAATGCTGTATTTTCATTTTAGAAAAATCTGAATTCACAGTTAAAGAAAGTTGACTTATATCAGATTATTTTAAAGAAAGAAGTAAGCTCTTTAATGATGAATGAAATGTATTCTGAAGTGACATGGATACAATTTCCTAGAGGACACTAAATATTTCTCTTAATAGTTGAAATATTCCAGTCAATAGAGATACATGAATGTAAGAATTCTGTGAGGAAGAAAAGGAGAGGCCTCAATACAAAAATAAAAAGATAGAAATTTATAAAATGATGTCAATGACCTTGGGCTAAAAGGGCTACACATTAAGATAAGAGAGGCAATTCTGTGCTATTTAACAGCACCTACTGTATACACAGTCTAATGCTGAATACCTGAGATAGGAAGATGTAAACATTCAACTAACAGTCTTGTCTTCTAGGAATCATTATCTCTGGAGAGTTTCAGAATTTGGTTCATAACTATAGCATTTTCCTAGTTGCTTTTGGCATTTTCTTTGGTGATGTAGAAAGATGTAAGTTCACATGAGCTTGTCTATTATTAAGATAGTTTTAAATCAACATCTGTATTACCTAAAGCATTGAATGATGGATTTACACTGTGTTAGGTAGAACATTTGCTTGAAAACCACTTTATATTGCATCTGAATACTATAATAACCTCATATTTCATTCTGAGAACTCTTCCTCAATATGAATCTTGAAGAACCTTACTTTTATCTTAACATATATATTTTTAGTTTTTTACAATTTACTTTATATATCAACTATGAGGCTTCCAAATAAAAATTTATTATAAAGTATGAAAGTGTGGAATCCAAACATTCTTAAAAGATTGTAGCTTTCTGCTTTGTTTCAAAGCTGAGATAACTGATAATCTTGCATATGGTAATAATAACTACTATTAGTTTAAGTTTTATTGAATATTTTACACATGAAAAACTCTGAAAGAACACTTTAGGTGGAATAACAAATGTATTCCTCAAAGATTTTTTCATCTTCAGTTCCTTAATTAGTAATGTGAACACAGTCAAAATATCTGGTATTACCTTGGAAAAATTATTTTAAAATGCAACCAAATAGGTAATAAGATTGGTATGCAAATAAAAATGATTCCAGAGCCTGGGCACTGTCTACTATGATATTCAAAAATATTCTGAAATATGCATCATAAAGAAATTGCACCTAATATAAGCCTTTCAATAATCAGAATTTTGAAAGGGAACAAATTCCCTAAAATTCTCTGGATTTGTTAAGCATAACTCTTCTGATTCTAAAGTGTGAAGAATTTGATGGTGGACATCTTTATATCACTACCCACTACCAGGAAGTACCACACATCCATTATCAACTAGGGATGGCAAGCTTAGAAAATCAAATACCATCTTGAGAATATTTTATAAGACTCATTCAAAAAAAATCCCTTTTATTTTAAAAGAAAGTATTAAAATGAAATAATGCATGACTTCAAAATGTATTTAGATTTCTCTATAGTGTACAACAAAAGGGAATTGTATCAGATTACATTTTCAGTAAAAAGAGTTTGAATGAGTTTGATGTGATTTCTGTTTCAATCATAAGGGTGACCTACACAGGTATCTTTTTTTTTCAATCATTTGTTTCTGCTCTCTCCATCTGTATTTTAACCTGTTCATATGTGGGTGAATTTGAGGGAAAGTAAATCAGTTTGACCTTAATGTAAAGTCATTCTTGTGTGATCAAAACAGTACTATTTCCAATATTAGGAAGAATGTGGATTTTAAGATTCAAAAGCACATGCCGTTCTCAGCAACCTGGGAGGAATGATAATGTGTCCACTGCTTGAATGATAATTTTATCTACATAACTGCCTTCCATTCTCTTGCCTTCACTGTGTATTAAGACTTCTGCCCAAAGATATATGTTTAGACAGGCTGTTTTAATATCACATATTAAACTTTAAAATGATTCAAGGACAAACACTGGACTTTAGCTCACTGTAGGATACCACATTTCCTTGCATCATTTCCTTTTTTTTTTTTTTAGCAGCTATTTTACCACTAAACCAGGAAAGTAGGAATTATGCAGGAAAATTGCTATCAGCTGGTACCCTGGCTGGACCACACAATCCAGAGCATAATAGCTTCCCCAGTGGAGCCTCTGACGGCTTGATCCAAGCCATTAACCACTGCTAACACCTAAGGGAAGAAATGGAATACGGTGAAAGGGCTATCAGGCATCCCAGAAGATCTTTACGCCAACAACATTTGTTTGAAATGCAGATACCCAGGGCCCATCCCCAGAAATTCTTATTTAGTTGATTTAGAGTAAAATCCAAGAATATGCATTATTAATATGCTCAGATATTTTTAACTGAATTACTGCAGGATTTTTTTTTCACTTGGCATCAGTTTATATGAATATATGCTCAGACCCAAGTGGTAATGGGGTTGAAATTTGGATTGGCAAGGTGGATCAGATGCAATAGTTCCCCCTTATCCATAGTTTTGCTTTCTGAGGTTTCAGTTGCCTGCTTTCAACCTTGGTCTGATAATATTAAGTGGAAAATATCAGAAATAAACAATTCATAAGTTATAAATTGTGCACTGTTCTGAGAACTGTGATAAAATCTCATGCAGCCTTGCTCCATCTCGCTGGGGATGTGAATTATCTCTTTGTCAAGCTTGTCCACACCTTTAGTCACCAACTACCTATGTAGGTAATCAGATAAAAGAAAAAAAAACAGTAAATATAGGGTTCAATGCTATCCATGGTTTCATGTATCTCCTGGGGTCTTGGGATGGATATCCCACAGATTAGAGAAGACTACTGTATATCAGAGCTTAGTATGTATAGGTATTTATTTTTAACATTTTAATCAACAAGTAATAATTCTATGTATTTATGGGGTACAACGTGGTGTTTTGAACTGTGTATATATTTGTAGGGACTTAATTTTTAAAATTTTTAAAATTTTTAAAAATTAGTGTAATAATAAGTTCAAGATCAGTGATATATGTTTCTCTCATTGCATTCCATTTGTGTAGGGTTAGATACACTCAGGACTTCTCAAGACACTGCTTGTTATTTTGAATCTCTTGTTACACATTCACCCTCTCATATTCATTTATGCCTATTATGTATTTATTCAACAATAAATACAGCACCATTATATCTACTTTACATTTACTTTATAATCAAATCTCCATTACATCTCTGAATTTGATATTACAAAATCCTCAGGCTGTTTGTTCCTGCTGCCTCTTCCCAAAAGGAAGCAGTAAATTTTCAGCTAACTATTGAAGAATGATAGGACTTTTCTACATTTGTAAGGAAGAAGTGAGTTTATTGGATGGAAGGGGAGATATGTACAAAATCATAGAATCACAAAGATAGTACACGAAATATAACCAAGAAAGAGATTGTAGGAGATGGGAAAAAATAGGCAATCAATATCATTAGTTCCATTATTGAACGATTGAATCTGAGATATTGAACATCCAGGCACACTTGCTTAATAGGTAAGTGGGAGAGTCATAAGGCTGAAGTTTTAGAAAGAAACATAGCTTGTTATTTGAAATCAGAATGCAAATCAGGTTAACAGTTTGTAAAGAGGTTAGAGAAAAACGCTAACGAGAAAATGTTATAGAACAGAAAGATGGGAGGTGCAGAGAGATGAAGGACTGCTGTTCTCTGTGTTTTGTCCCGGTAACAAACTAGCTTTTTCTTCTTGACTGAGCCACTCCTTTCTTAAGGCATTCTCTCATTCGTATCTGATGGTAGAAATTTAAATCGAGATACAAATGGCATAGCGGACCACAGTGTATGGGAGCAGAGACTAGAAAGGCAAGGATCACCACAAGAGGATAAACCATCAACTGACTGATATTTTGACTAGTTAGAGTCTGTTTTCTCCTTCTGGGTAAGAAGTTTCTTGAAATGCGTAATCATTTTCCTCACTTACCGAACTATCTATCTGTTCCTTCATCAAGGATTAATTGAAATCTTACCATAGAGATTTCTTTATAGTGACACATATAACAGATTCTAGGATGCACGTACTAAAAAGGCAAACTTTCTGCATCCAAAGATCTTACAGTTGGTGAAACAGAAAAGCAACACACACCACTGTATTGCGGCATGCTGGGTGGGATGTGTGTTGAGGAAGACTTTCCTGTGCCAGTGACGTCTTATAGATAGCAGATGCTAAATAACTGAAGGTGGAATTAATTAAATGTGTCAAAGTAGACTTGAAAGAATTTAAGATGGAGGTATAGCTGATGGCAAGGAAAGTTGGATTTGTACTACATTTGGTGGCTTGCCTGATGAAGCACGTTATGTCTTATTTTCATATGTGTGAATGCAAAATCTTCAGGGAGATCACGAGATTCAACAAAATGATTATGTTCAGGGATATTTGACCTACAAATCAAAGCAAGTTATTTAGAAAACACACTACCTTTGGTACTATAGTTTCTTTCATATCTTCAGCTCTCTATTCACAGTATTAAAGATTTCAATATTTTGAAAACACTGTGTACTTCACTTAAACTAGTGCTTTAAAACAATTTTACTCTTTGGCTCAACTACTCTTTATATCAAATGTGTTAATGAGCACACATTTATAAGCTCAAGTACAAAATGAATTAATCTGTCTTTTTCCAGTTTCTTAAATATTTAGAGGCACCTATTCAATTCATAGAGACATGGTAGGGAATTTGCTCTTCTGATAATGCAAGCTTTCTAATGTCTGGATATTTACCTGCTATTAGGTTGTTTTCTCAAATTGTCACAAGAAATTCCACTAAAGGCCTTGGTGTGTGTTTGTTTTTTTTTTTTCCTAAGTGGTTTATGTGCTGACAAAATGCATTTTTTACCCTTCTTCATAAATCCAAATAGATAAAATATTCTTTCTAGATCTGTTGATATTTATAAAAGCTTTAAAATTTTCATTCAAACACAATAGAAATTGTTTATTGGAATAGTTTTCACTTTAGTGGGTTAGTTAATGCAAGCATTCCTCAGATAAAATGAAAGTAATATTAGTCTTCATCCCTCATTCCCCAATGCCTGAGGTGGAATAAACCTGCCTTTCCTCTGAGCATTAAGGGATCTGCAAAAGGTGCGTGGAGCATTTTGAGTAAGAGCAAGCATACTAATTAAGAGCAGAGAAAAAAATCATCAAACACACCAGACCTTGGGCACTGTGATTGAATCTAGCATGCAACTTGGATTCTGTGATACTTGCATTCCTCTCTCATACCAAAAATGATAACTTTTTCATAATTAATTCATGGTTATGCTCTGCTCTGCTGTGTTATGGTATGCTATGCTCCGTTACGTTGAGGCTCAAAGTATGGAATTTAGATCTATAGAGTATAGTGTTGGATATATTTTTAATCAAATACTATACTCTTGTCCACCAGTTGCCTTGTCCACTTCGCTTTTTGTTGTCTCTAATAAAGGTGTCATAACATGGAAAAACTTCCCTCCATATATGTTTTTCTCTTATCCTTGAGCTTTAATAAAAATGTCTTAGAGTCTATGTTCCCTTGTTTTTTGAGGTAATTTTTGTTAAGGTGACAAAGGCAGAGTGTAGAAAATACACTGAACTAGGTTGTAATTTTTAGCCTCCAGCTGAGAAACCTTGAACATCTCATTTTATCTTTCAAAAACTTTGTTCCTCATAAGTAAAATGGGAATAAGAATGCCTTGCTGTGACTCAGTAAATCATAAATATATGTAATCAGATTTTCTTATTGCATTTATTTTCTAGGGATGCCGTAACAAATAATCCCAAACTGGAAAGTGTAAAACAACAGATGCTTATTCTCTTAGAGTTTCTGGAGGCTGGAAATCTGAAATCAAGGTGTGGGCAGGGCCATGCTCTCCTCAAAAACTCTAGAGGAGAATCCATTCTCTGCTTAAGTTTCATAGATCACTTGATGACTCCTGGGTTTTTTAAAGTGAATAGCACAGCCCACTCTCTGTCCATTTTCACTCCAAAATGACAATCATGCAGATATTTACAGAACTCTACTGCTAGATGGTTACAGTGCAGAAAGAGCCTGCCAAGTGATCTTCTGTATTAAAATGTTCTAATTCATTTTGTGTATAATTGTAAATTGTTGGGTAAACATTCAGTTTGGTGTTAGTCTAGGAACTTCCACAGGAATCCACCATGATGTTGATTTTTTTTTTCCAAAGCCAAAGTGGACCTTGCTCCAATATTTTATGGCTAGATATACCACATTACTAAATATTATAATATTTGGTAATGAGTCAACACTCCAAAAAAATGGAGATTATTGACATCAGGTGGCATGACAGAAAATCTAATGAGAAAATGGAAAGCAGTCACAAATAAGCCAACGATCTAATTAGGTGGCTTAGAATATCCAGTTGCTCGTGGCAGATTTAGTATGTTGGTACACTTTCAATTAATTATGTAGGAAGTTATAATGGTACTGAAGGAGACTGGCTTCACAAAGACTTAGTTTTTATTAATTCATTACACTGCAACTGTTTCCAACAAGACTCATTATTTAGAGTAGAAAGGTATAAATGAAGTGTGGATGCTATAATATTTGTTCATATTCCTAAATATTGGATACTACTGTACATATATCCTTCTAATATGCTGAAAATTTCTGGATTTGGTATTTTTATTGCTTTGCTGGGTTTTTATAAATAAACAACAGACACAACACGGTGATAAGAACTTAATTAAATCTCTTGTCCATACCTACTAAACACAGTGGCATTTTTTTCTTTGTTTTGACCTTCTTATCATTTTTATTTCATTTGACTTAACCAAGAAAATTTGAAATAAATTTGCAAGTCAAATGTCAGGCAACATTTCTCGCAAGGCACAATACCTACTGATCTTCTCTTCATCTATTTATTTTGCCATAAATATTTGCCTGGCAAGTGCCTTCATTAACTCTGCCTCCTTTTTCTTCTTGTTTGCATCTAAAAGGACAACCAAAAGTCATAGCTCAATAATTTTAAATAAATAGGATCTAGTCCAAAGTAACATTTCTGTATCAGGGCAACAGATGAAGTACACTAAAACAAATAGAGAATTTGGGTTTGCCTGTTTTATTCTATCTAAAAAATATGTGGAAAGAACTTGAGATATTTAAACACTAACAGTAATAATAATGGCCAATCCTGTTTTATTAAACATACAAAGAGAATAGAGTATTTCCCTTTTTCATCTGCAGGGGATATGTTCCAAACCCAGACTGGATGCTTGAAACCACAGATAATACCAAACCATATACATATATATATATATACACACACACACACACACACACACACACAGAGTATGTGCTGTGTTTTTTCAACCTGAACCAAAATTATTGCTAAGTGACTAAAGGGCAGGGAGTACATACAGCATGGATATGCCGGAAAAAGGGACGATTTACATCCCAGGTGGGACTGAGAGGGACAGAGAAAGATTTCATCATGCTACTGAGAACAGTGCACAATTTAAAATTTATGAATTGTTTATTTCTGGCATCTTCCATTTCATAGTTTCAGACTATGGCTGACTGTGAGTAACGGAAACCATGGAAAATGAAACTGTGATAAGGGAGGACTACTATAACTGAAAGAAATAAAAGAAAGGAAAGAGGCAAGGAAGGAAGGAAGGAGGGAGGGAGGGAGGGAAGGAGAGAAGGAAGGAAGGAGGGAAAGGAAGGAAGGAAGGAAGGAAGGAAGGAAGGAAGGAAGGAAGGAAGGAAGGAAAATAAATTCAGACTGTGGGATAAATTACACAGATAAAAGTGAAGAGTTATCCAGATAGGCACAGTCTATCTGTTTTTTTTTCTTTAAACTTAAAGTTCTGGGATACATGTGAAGAACGTTCAGGTTTGTTGCATAGATATACATGTGCCATGGTGGTTTGCTGCACCCATCAACCTGTCTTCTAGGTTTTAAGCCCTGTGTGCATTAGGTATTTGTCCTAACACTCTCTCTCCCCTTGCCCCCCACCCCCTGACAGGCCCTGGTGTGTGATGTTTCCCTGCCTGTGTCCATGTGTTCTCATTGTTCAAATCCCACTTATGAGTGAGAACATGCGGTGTTTGGTTTTCTGTTCCTGTGTTAGTTTGCTCAGAAACTCATTTTTTGTGAACTCATTCTTTTTTATGGCTGCATAGTATTCCATGGAGTATATGTGCCACACTTTCTTTAAATAGACTTTTTAATTTTTCATGGACTGTAAGTGTGGGGTATGCAAGGTAGTTTTCATTCTGAGGGATCTTCTCTTTGCTTGTATGTGGCTGAGCCCACATGAGCTCTTCTTTGTGTGCCCACAGAGAGAAACAGCTAGCAGAAGGTCTTTAGTGTCTCTTCTTATAAGGACACTATTTCTCTTGGATTAGAGCCTCACCATTATGACCTTATGTAACCTTAATTACTTCTGTAGAGGCCCCATCTCCAAATGCAGGCAAACTGAGGGTTATAGCTTCAACAGAAGAATTATTTACGTATTTAGTTGATAACGAATACTTCCTTGTTTGCTACAAGAAAAATGATATGTTATATTAATGTTGTGTGAAAGAATATCCCTTGATTTCCAACTCCAAATGCTTCAAGGACGAAATATCAATAATCAAAGAAGAAATTTCTCCTTGACTAACTATAGGAGATAATTGTTCAATCTGTGTGCCCCTCTCTGAATATAGGACTAATATATCCAATTTCACTTCAGTAAAATAGAATTCTGGTATGCACCTCTTTAACATGATGGTATTCTCAATATTTTAATAAAAGTTGGATTTTTTTTCCTCTCTAAAGCCTCTTTCTATCTGAACCTAAGCGCCCTCAGTTTATTGCTCATGTTTCATGATATGAGTCATGCCCAGAGAAAGGCTTGGAAACCATCAATATTTCTCTTAAATTTTCATACACAAACCCAGGATATATATGCTTTCCAATAGCCTGAAATTGAACTCTCCCTCTCTCTGATTTATTTTAAACCACATATAACTATTTACAACAAATAACATGAAGGGAAATAAATTTAAGCCCACAAAATATAGCTTATGGTTACTTATTCATTTATTTATTCAGCAAATATTTGCTGAAAACTCATTATGCATCTGCAATTGGTTATTTGTTACTCGGAAGTTTCTGAGTTTATTTCTGTACCTCTAATGTCTGTCTTATCTCCGTTACTCTATCATTTCTTTGTAATAGTGTTTTGATAAAAATATAAAGATTTTTGTAACATCATGTAACTCATTTATCTGGAGATATTGGGGACAATTTATGAAAGAAATTATACAGAAAGAAGTGATATTTGAGCATCGATATAAAGAATACATACATCTTCACAATTCAAATTATGGCTAAGGGGAGGTAGAGAGATTATCAAGCAGAATAAAGAGCAAATATGAAAGCCCTGAGGAGGGAAGATGTTTGACTCAGAAAAGGCCAGGATATCTGGAACATACAGAGAAAGAAGAGTGGCAGCACATGAAGCTGGAGAACAAGACAGAGGCTAAACCATGCAGACCTTGGGGGAAGAAACTCAAATCTCTAATGTGTAATCAAGTGCAGAAATTCTAAATGTACTCTCTCTCTTCCTTGTTTCCCTCCCCCTCAAGACACACATACACACACATATATATAGTTATACATGTTTATCTATTATCCATTTCTATTTGATATAATTTTTCCAGAATAATGTGTTTACTCAATTTTGGTTTTGTTCGGTAACAGGAATTCTTATAAGATTAGAGAGATGGATAGATAGGTAGTTAGGTATGTAGACAGACAGATAGATATTCATTGCTGTCTCATTTTCTAACTTTTAAAAATATTTCTTAGTTCTAATGAATCAGTTAGGTGTTCAGTTCCTTAAAACTGAAACCATTCCAAATAGAAGTGGGTTAAACAATGGTACCAATGTTATGAGGATTCCTGCTCTATGCCAAGTCCTGTGCTACAGACTGGGAGTAGAACTGTGACTAAGGCAAGTCGGCCTCAAGGGGCTTATATTTTAATGAAATAAAACATATACATTTTATTTAACAGTATCTATTTTTTTCTAAAACTTCACAAGAGTAATGCATAAACATTATAAAGGATTAATTGTAAGATGACTGCCTTTAGCATTGTCTCATAACATTCAGTAAAAACCTAACAAATTACTTGAAAAACACAATTACACAAAACTAAGAATAAAACTAAATATTTTTGTTCATAATCAATCTGTTATCATAATCTGAATAAAAGTTCATACATATTTACATAACTGTACTCTGCTGCCTGAAACTAAGCAAGTCTACGTACTTGAAAAGAGCTCTTGTTCATTTGGTCTCTTCTTTACTATTTACTTGGCACATACCTTGTATTTCTCAGCCAAGGAGAAGGAAACTCAATTCTACTACCACTTTAGGAATATTGTCATTGGATGCATGACTGGTGCTCTTAGCCCACTTTAAGTCCCCATGAAGATCTTTTGTACAAAAGTCAGTCATAAACAACTGGGTATGAAGAATAAAGCAAGCTCCTGAAAATTGAGTTTTTCTTTTTTCTTGGTATATTATTTATCTGTAAAGCATTACAAAAGAATGAGGAAACAGGAAAATCCCTAACTGGGAGAAATGATGGGGAATATGAATACATTTGCTTATTGGTATAGACTGGGGATTGGTTCCTGTGGATATCAAAATCCATGGGTGCACAAAGTCTCTTACATAAAATGGCATAGTATTTACACATACTCTATGTACATCCTACCATATACGTCTAACCACCTCTAGATTACTTATAATACCTAATGCAATATAGTTACTATATATAGATATAGTTGATTGTATTTTTAATTTGCATTGTTTTAATTATTATATTGTTATTCTTTATTTTTTTAAGTATTTTCTATCCACTAGAGAATTGCAATTGATACTGATCGGCCCATTTCTTAAATTGATCTTGTCAGCATATCCTTCTATCTTTTGGAAACTGTTGTTTTACCCTCAACTTCAAGAGATTTCTTTTTTTAAAATAATGTAGTATGTAACTATGGATTCAGTGATCATTTCCTCTCTTTTTTCATATATTTTTTACTTCTAGAAAAATTTCTCTCTTGTATCTAACATCTCATTATTAGGACACACTCTCTGTTTACTCTGCTCAAAAAGATAAAACAAATGCAATAAAAACAATAAGCGGAAGCTATAAGGGGAGAGGGCAGGCTAAGATTCAGAGACAAGAAGATGATACACAATGAAAACATGAAAGACTGAAAAGAAGATTGTTGAATAACGTATGAGTAAAATTGAAGCCAAGTTTAGAGGTAGTGAACAGCCAAGATACTATCACTTATATGACTGTTCTTTCCTTTTACACTATTGACAGCAAATAAAACAAACAAACAAATTAACCAAAAAAAAAAAAAAAAACTAAAGTAAAACTAAAGTAAAAAAAAAAAAGAGTGCATGTAAACAGACAATTAAAAAATCTTCCAAGAAACACCATTGATCCTCTTCCCAATTGTTGAAAGTCAAAAGGCTTTTTCTTTTTTAAAAAAATCAGAAACAAAGTAAAGGTGCCTACTATAACTTCTTGTACTCAAAATTGTATTAGAAGTTCTCATTAGTGTACTAAGATTTTTTTTAAAAAATGAAAACAATAATACTTGAAAAGGAATGAATAAAATCCTTTATTTGCAGAGAATGTGTGACTATATAGAAATACCCCCAATATGATCAGATATATTTTTCTATTCCCTATTTTACTAATTTGCTCTTTAAATCCTTATTTCCTTTCTTCTGATTGCCTTAGGCTTATTTTGCTCTTCTTTTTATATGGCTGATGGTGAAAAATTAGGTTATTGATTTGAGAGCTTTCTGCTTTTTTAATACAGATATTTAAAGCTATAAATTTCCCTCTAAGGACTCACTTAGTTGCAACTCACACATTTTGATTCATTGTATCTTTATTTATATTTGTTTCATAATTTTTTTAAATTTCCCTTTTGCTTTCTTCTTTGATCTATTGGCTATTTAAGAGTGCATTATTTAATTTCTACATGTCTATGAGTGTCCCAAATTTCTTCCTATTATTAGTTTCATTCCACTGTGGTCAGACAACCTACTTTGGATTAGTTCTATCATTCTATCATGTATTGAGGTTTGTTTTATGGCCTAGCATATAGTTCACAGTGCAGACTGTTCTAAGTTCACTTAACAAGAATATTTATTATACAGTTGTTGAGTGTTCCACAGTGTTAGGTATAGTTTGTATTGTTTTTCAAGTCTTCTACCTTCTACCTTGATTTCTGCCTCGTTGTTTTATTTATTATTGAAAGTGAGATATTAGAGTATGCCACTATTACTTTTTAATTTCTAGATATTTTATGCTCAAAAAATAGATATTTTATGCTGAAAAACATAATTGTTTTATACAATTGCTTTGTAAAACAGTTAAGACAAAAAAGGAGAAAAACTATGCATTTATATTGTCTTTTTTAAGTAGATACTTATTGTCTCTGATACTCTTTTTATTTTTAATGTGGATTTGAGTCACCATCTGGGGTCATTTGCTTTCAGTCTGAAGACAACTTCCTTTAGTATTTCTTAGTAAACATGCCTGCTGGTGACAAATTCTCTCATTTTTTTGTCCATCCGAGAATATCTTTATTTCATATACATATTTATTTTGAAAGATAGCTCTGCTGAATATGATTGTTGGTTGACAATTTTTTTCCTTGAGCATTTTGAATATGTTATCCCACGTCCGTCTGGCCTTCATTGTTTCTATGAAATTTTTGCTGTTAAGTGATGAGTCAATTTTCTCTTGTTTTTAACATGTTCTACTTGGTTTTGGCTTTCCGTGTTTTCACTATGATGTGTCTATTTATGAATATCTTTGTGTTTGTGTTCTTGGAGTTCCCTGAGCTTTCTGGATGTATAGACTATTTTTTTTAATTCAGGTTTTCAATGATATTTTTTCTGTTTCTTTCTCCTTCTCTTCCCCTAGTACACTCACTGCACATTTGTTGGTGCACTTAATGGTGTTATACATTTTTTTGAGGCTCTGCTTATTTCTCTTTATTCTTTTTTTCTCTCTATTCTTTAGTTTGTGTACTCTTTATTGTTCTATCTTTGAGTTCACTAATCATTTCTTTTGCCAATTCAAGTCTACTGTTTAGTCACTCTAGTTAATTTTTTATTGTCCCTCTCATGGGCTTTTTCTTTTTGCCAGCTGTTTTTCTGCTGTGGGTCATATTTTCTTCATTCTTTGCATGTCTCATAATCTTCTGTTGGAAACTAGGCATTTTAGATAATATAGCAAAACTGGGAACTGTCCTCTGAAGGCTTATTTTATTTGCTTATTTGTTTAATGACTGGCTGGGTTGTTTTAGTGAAGTCTATTTCCCCCTCTGTGGTATTAAACCCATGATGTTTCACTTCAGGGAATCTCAAGCATGGGTATGTCCACAGTCACTTTAGAATTACAATTGTTTGGGCAGGGCTCTCCTTGATTGCCTTTTCCCCTGACCATGTCTAGCTGTTGAATTCCACTAATTTCCAACAGGATTTCTGTATTGTTTGTAAGGCTGCCTTGGAACCTAAATTACTCTACAGACCAGTCCATTCAAATTTGATCTCCTTTGAAAGAATAGTTTCCTAGGTCAGAGTTTCAGATTAGTTCTGACCCAAGTGGGCTCCAGAGGCTCTCTCTTTCCAAGATTCCCTGCTTTCCACCCCCCTGGGCAAAATCCTGAGCTATTGGCTCTGGAGCTGGTGTGAAGATTATGGCATGTTTCTCTGAGGGACAGCTAAACCTTAGGGCAGAGCATATGATGCTGGGGGAAAAAATAGCCTCAAGTCTTTTTGGCTTGCCTCTCCCAGTGTACGGTGGGCTAGAGAAAGGGCGATTGAGGCTCCATATTCTCAGTGGCACAGTGCCCAGCTAGAGCCTCTCTCCCATGAGTAGGGACCAGGAGGAAGAAAAGAGTCCCTGCCTCTTGACCATACTGACTTAGAACTTAGCTTGAACAGTAAGTAACTAGGAACAGAATGAGAATGTCTGACGTCCCACCTTTCCCCCAGAAAATCGTCCTCCAACTGCTCGCTGCAGGGAGAGGGACCCCTGTGTTCTTGGCTAAACCAGTTTGGAGTAAAGTTTCTACCTCACTGAGCTGAGACAAGGAAGGATGGGAGTGGGTTCTTGTTCATGCACCAGAGTCTTACCATTCTTACCAAGCTCTAGTCGATTTTCTTGAATAAATGGTTCTTTATTTGCTGCTTGCCTCCAGATCCATTTCCAGAATCTTTAAATGTTTTTCCATTTATAATTTTCACCAGTTTCACTGGAAAGCACATCTGTAGAGCTCCTTTTCTATCATGCTGAAATGGAATTCTCTAATAAGATTCGCTTTTATAAATAAAAAGAAAGTCTTAGAAGATTGCTGAAGCTAAAATCAATGTATAAGACAATTAAATTTTATATACCAG
Organism: Homo sapiens; assembly: GCF_000001405.40. Lineage (NCBI taxonomy): Eukaryota > Metazoa > Chordata > Mammalia > Primates > Hominidae > Homo > Homo sapiens. Next base: position 61,659,027 of record NC_000016.10, on the reverse strand, counting down.
CAGCAGTGAGTTGAAAATATATTTTTAAAAAGGTAACTAAATTTTAAACAGGTTTACTATCACAATAAACTATATACAGCAGCAAAAATAAATCTAACAAAAGATGTGGACATTTTTATAAGCTAAAAACATTTCACTGACATATATTGAAGAACATTAAGAAATAACTCTCTTAATATAGAAAACTGATGATAAAGATGTAATTATTTCAAAATTGGTTAATATTTCAATATAACTTCTACCAAGTTTCTTATAGGAATTTTTATAAAACTTTATAATCTGATTCTATATTTTTCCAAGAATAGCAAATGAACAATAATAGCCAAAATATTCTTAAAGAACACGGTATGAGAAAATGCTGTAACCAACACCAAGATTTATGATAAAGTTTTCATACATAAGAAACAGGGTATTCATGGAGGGTTAGAGAATCAGATTATTGAAACAGAATAAAGACCTCTTAAAAGAATGAGGATGCATAAAAATTTCATTTGTGAGAAATGATCTTTGATGATCAGTAGGTAAGTTATAAGTTACTCCATAATTAACATTGAGAAACTCAATTTTTAGTATAGAAAACAATCGAATTAATACAACAACCAAAAAATAATTTTATATAATTAAGAATTTTTAAAATAAGTCTTGAAAACACTAATTATAAGAGATTGGCAAAATAAACTATATTAAATTCAAAAATTTAAATGAAATGAAAAGGCATCATGAGTGTTACAGCAGAAACCACAACTTTGTAGAAGATATTTACAACATTTAAGATATAAAAAATTATTCCAAGAACAGTAATTAGAGCTTTGTGAAACTGCTAATATTCTATGGTTTTTGATGTGTAAAATAATGGCAATTTCATTCAGCCTAATGAAAGAACTCAAGTAAATTGAAAACAAATACAATTACCAATCCAAAAATAGAAACAAAAACAAAAACAAAAATAGATGAGTAGGTAAAAAAGGAATTGATGTTGCCTGGAACTGGCAGGTAAAATTTAGCAAGAATAACTCATAGATTTTCTTTACTCAGTCAACAGTCTTCTGCGTGTAGAAAGGAGAGCAAGATAGGCAAATTCCAGGATTAGTAAAAAAATATTTATAGAAGTATGAATTTAGTGTTAGACCCACCAATGCTTTTCTCAGTAGTAAAGAAGATAGCTTTGTTCTGCAGCAAGCAATATTCCTGCTGCAGTTTCTAAATTATTATAATAGTCTGTTACAAAAGGAGAATATGGAAAGATTGTTTCTCATAGAAATGTCAACCACAAAAAGACAATAGCCTCATTTCAGTTTTATTAATTGTTCCTTGAAGAACAAATTCTATCTTTTGTTTTGAACTATCATGTATAAAACCATCCAGAAATGTTCTTTGTACTAATTAGCTGTACTCAAACTTGTCACATACTTTCTGAAAATATAACACAACTATATATTCTATATCTGTTTTGAGATAATGTTCCTTGCTTTTAGCTTACTGGTATTTCCATCTAGGTCATGACAATAAAGATTACTGGATCATTTGGTATATAACTGCTTAACTCCATTAGAAATCTCTTTTTCTCAGTATATTCAAATTACTATATAATGATGTACAACCAGAAGAAGTTCAGAAAACAATTGTTAAATCAGAGTGCTTTTTCTATTTGACTGCTTATTAGAAAAGCATTATAGGCCTGTTTATATCTTAAACAAAGCAAAATTAAATATAACTATATATCCATTTTGGAGAATGGCTATCAATTTTTGGAAATCCTAGTATAGTGCTATATGGTACAGTAGTTTTCCAAAACTTATTTGAAGTCATCTGAATGGGATATCTCACTTAGTTAAGTATTTTGGAAACCAATAGGATACTGATGATCAGAAATTGGATGGCAATGGTTTGGAATCATTACTATTACATGCAATGATTAGGTAGCCCTGTGTTCGGGGGTCTATAATTGGCCAATATTTGAAAAAAAAAAAACAAATAATTATTTTGCCCAAATAACACTAGGCACTTAGTAACCAAAATTGTGTTTATTTGCTTTTGGCTGTAATATCAGTGAGAGTTAATCAGCATTTCCATTTTGAGTAAATGTATATCTTTCAGTAATCAACATGAGAAAGCAGGTTAGCAATTATTATATACAATGTGACTGCAATTCATGAGATGAGGATGAATGACAACAAAATATTTCAACTTGGGGGTGAAAGTTTGAGAACTGTGTATCTAATGTGGGACCAATCACTTCTCACTGACCAGTTTTACTTTGAACTGAAGTATATTCTTAAGTATTGCTTAACTGTTGCTCCAGACAACCAGTATATATCTCCATATAATTAACCGACACCTGCAAAATGGATCACATGCTTTTATGACTTCTCATTTTGTTCTTATTATGTAACCACTATAGATCTTCTCTACAGAATTTTAATGTATGTGGCATATCTCCTCCGGGTAGTAAATAGGGCTTTTGCTGTATCTTAATGTGAATGCTCTAGGCCATGAATGACCTTCTTTTTAGGTACTTGTGGGAATCAACAAAGTGCATTGTTTTGCAACTGTGTTGTCATACAGTCTATCTTTTAATACAGAGCTTCTCAAACATGTGTTTCAAATATGATGACATTTTATTCAATCAAATTTGCTTAACCTATTATCAGGCTAAATAAAGAAAATAAAGCTTATATATGGTATATGGAGATGAGATAATATATGTCTTCGGAAGGGACACTTAAAGATTATTTTTGTAAAAGAAATATTTTGCATTTTTAAGGTGATGACGGTAAAACTCCGTTGGTCCGTCAGGGGGTCCCATTCATTCAACCTGTTATGGTTGTCCTGGTCCATGCTGATTGAAAAAGCGCAGGCCGGGCGCAGTGGCTCACGCCTGTACCCCCAGCACTTTGGGAGGCCTAGGCGGGTGGATCACGAGGTCAGCAGATGGAGACCATCCTGGCTAACACGGTGAAACTCCGTCTCTACTAAAAATACAAAAAATTAGCCCGGTGTGGTGGCTGGCACCTGTAGTCCCAGCTGCTCGGGAGGCTGAGGCAGGAGAATGGCGTGAACCCGGGAGGCGAAGCTTGCAGTGAGCCGAGATAGCGCCACTGCACTCCAGCCTGGGTGACACAGCGAGACTCCGTCTCAAAAAAAAAAAAAAAAAGTGCGGAGACGAGTCAGGGAAAAAGCCTGAGCAGTCCTTTGAAGTCGGGATTGTCTTGAGGTTTGCAAAGGGTTCATGAACTAGAAAAACAAGTGTTATTTGGAGAGTCATTTTGAAATGATGCAAATTATTGTAATTTTTACTTTTTTCAGATAATTCCCTCAGTATTTTGGCAAAGCATAATGGATTCAACCGCCAGAAGCAAGAAGTCTATCTTTTACCAATCATAATCAGTGATAGTGGAAATCCTCCACTGAGCAGCACTAGCACCTTGACAATCAGGGTCTGTGGCTGCAGCAATGACGGTGTCGTCCAGTCTTGCAATGTCGAAGCTTATGTCCTTCCAATTGGACTCAGTATGGGCGCCTTAATTGCCATATTAGCATGCATCATTTTGCTGTTAGGTACGTATTTCCTTCATAGCCTACCGGTCACCCTTTTTCTGATTCATAAATGACTGTAAATAAGGACAGAAAACTCTGATCTACACAGGCAAGAGCATTCCGTTGGGGAAGAGGAACTTCCTTTCCTTCTCCACATTTTGAGATCTCTAATAAGTGAAGAGAAAAAGGGTTGTGATAGTAAATGTCCAAATGAAGAGGACTTTCAGTGCCTTTTTCAATTCCATCACCAATAAAGCGATGAACAAGGCATAATGGTGGTGGCAGTGGAGAAGGGCTTTTACGTCGTTACAACACCATCTAGTGCATAAGAAGAACTCTGGGTGTGAGGCACACCAGTTCACTGCAACAGCAGGCTCTACTATGTCCACAATAGTGTTTCATTGTAGTTTGGGTTGCTGAGTCCATCGGATCCCAAATTTGGTGATATAAAAAGAAAGCAAATGAGCAAACTAAAAATAAGTTTTCTTCAAAATACCATTGCATTTCTCTGATATTTTCCTTCATATAAACATCAATTTAAAATGATGATTGCAAATTAAGATTCTATAACCTTTTAATTAAAAAAGTCCAATTATAACAATGCGATTATACAGTAGGAAAATAGAAAAACATGAGAGTCGTATCTTATACTACCCTTGAGGAACAAAACACCATAAAGACGGTATCAGTTACTGTCTTTCTTGTTCCATCTGTCTTTCTCACCCAGTGTCTTGGATTTAAGCATCACTTTGATGACATATTTTGCTCCATTAGCCCACATTTGATTTGGCCCATCTGACTAGTTGGGTATGTTTTCCTTGCCCTTTTCTCACATTCAGGTTTCTCTTCCCAGCTAGAGGCATTCCAGCCCTCCCACAAGACAAGTTGCCCATGCAAATTTGACATTCACTTTTTTATAAAAGAACATAATTTAATTGGAGAGTGCCTTGAAAAACTGTGAAAGCCCAAGGACCTAGTTTACTCCTTTTTTTTTAATAGAAGGGAGCTTTGGAACCAAAGGATGTTAAAGGACTTGCTTGAAACACATATCAAGCTAGTCATACTTTCAGTGCTATTTTCTATTTTGTGCCACTCACTCTAATGATCATAAAAGCATAAAATGTAACTTTCACCATGAATACATGCATGCCAATTCTTTTAACCCAGCTCTATCACCATTTAATAAGCCAATAATCTGGAACAGTATTTACTCAAAATTTAATGTTCATCCTTCAGAAAGATGTTTAGCTTAATTTTCTAGTAAATATTATTAAAGGTGTATGCTCATACAATTTTGTAAAAATACCCCTCTCTCCTAACATATATAGTGTGTTGCTTGTGAAATTATATGCTTGTTTGGCTGACTGTTATTTAATATTTTTCCTCTAGTCATCGTGGTGCTGTTTGTAACTCTACGGCGGCATAAAAATGAACCATTAATTATCAAAGATGATGAAGACGTTCGAGAAAACATCATTCGCTACGATGATGAAGGAGGAGGGGAGGAGGACACAGAGGCTTTTGACATTGCAACTTTACAAAATCCAGATGGAATTAATGGATTTTTACCCCGTAAGGATATTAAACCAGATTTGCAGTTTATGCCAAGGCAAGGGCTTGCTCCAGTTCCAAATGGTGTTGATGTCGATGAATTTATAAATGTAAGGCTGCATGAGGCAGATAATGATCCCACGGCCCCGCCATATGACTCCATTCAGATATATGGCTATGAAGGCCGAGGGTCAGTGGCTGGCTCCCTCAGCTCCTTGGAGTCCACCACATCAGACTCAGACCAGAATTTTGACTACCTCAGTGACTGGGGTCCCCGCTTTAAGAGACTGGGCGAACTCTACTCTGTTGGTGAAAGTGACAAAGAAACTTGACAGTGGATTATAAATAAATCACTGGAACTGAGCATTCTGTAATATTCTAGGGTCACTCCCCTTAGATACAACCAATGTGGCTATTTGTTTTAGAGGCAAGTTTAGCACCAGTCATCTATAAACTCAACCACATTTTAATGTTGAACCAAAAAAAGATAATAAAATAAAAAAGTATATGTTAGGAGGTTATAAATCTTGTGGAGTGTGAATTAAGTATGTGGAGTGTCTAGAAGTCCTTGGATATTTGATATTTACCTGACCACCACAGACAAAGATTGGGATCCTGGCTAATCCTTAGATAAATGGTTTAAATAGAGGAAAAAATCATAATTAAAAGGTGCTTTCTTAGAAAAAAAAATACGGACCTGCAAGGAATCTGCTGCTGATATGTGTCTTCTGCAAGGATTTTTATGAATGCAAATGGTTTTTTCCCCTTCACCAATAAGGATCCCGCCACAAATGATAAAGCAATACTTGGTCTGCTGTACATTATAACTTTTTGGAGTTTTGAGAGGCCTCCTAGATTATACAGTACGGTGACCACACATTGTACATAATTGTTGGCCCCACTCACTAGAGACTGAATAGCATCTTTAAATATTGTGTCGAGCCTTAAAATATTCACATGTTCGTAATCCATTCCAGGGTGGGGCTTGCCAATTCAGTGGTGGGAGGAGAGAAATCCCATTCAAACATGCTTGTTTTCTAGAAGCAGGATTCCTCGTTCCCTCCTCTTCATCTTCTTCCACAAGGACACAAAGATAAACTGTATCACACAGTGGACTACATAAGAGACAGATGGTTTTATTGCTAGCGCGTGAATTTATTTGTTTAATCCTCGAAATAAATATTTTATTGATGTCCATTAATGCTTTTATTTATTAAGGTCGGTAATCTATAGATTAAGGGGATATATGGGAAAAAACTAAATTATATCCATTAATAATCCTTTAGATTGTTTTATATAAATATATATACAATGAATGTTTAATACATGTACATTTTGATGAGATGAGTATGGCAGGCAATATTATCGAAAGGAGAGCTAATAGTCTCTTTAGAGTAGAAAGTGTTATTGTAACTGGAGATGGCAGGAACAGCATCTTCCCAGACAAACTTTTGGACTGTTTTCTATTTTGTTCATAATCCTAGTATTTGGTGTTTTTACTACAAGCACAAACATCCTAAAGTATATTGATTCCTGTGAATATTTAAACTCTAGACTTTTAGATACCTACATCATGCCCTGCCCAATAAACATGCTTCAATTTACCCCCACAGTTTTAGAGCAGGAACTGATTTGTACATAATTTCACTGTTTACGTTTTTAGCACTCCTATCCCTGATCTTCATGGTGATGCACAGAATGTCTTAGACTCCAAAAAGGAACAGCACTAGAAGATGTGAGCATATTTAATTTGTAATGCAAACCTGCCATTTAGGAGTAGAAAATGTATGATAAAACTCAAGTATTACATGCAGATCATTTTAATTTTCTACTTTGCTTTAATGCAATATTGTTTATTCACTCCATGTATTGTATTCAGAGAAACTCCTGTATTGTTTCCTACTTTGTGAAATATATTTTTATAAATACCTTTGTTGTCATTAATTTTTTTTTCAATCAGTGGAAGATCTATTAACAGAATCATCAACTCAAACTAAAATTCTAGAATACTCAACCAAATCATCCCAAGGGTCACTTTTGTTTGTAAGACTCTTTATTATAGAGAAACAGAGAAGAGAAATGGCTTGCCAGTGATCACACAGCAAGATACCAGCAGGGACATAAGAGGAACATGGAACACCTAAAGGCTAGTCCAGCTGTGTCATTTGGGTCCTTCTGGAAGCAGACGCATTGGGCAGGGAAAACCTTCAGACAAGTTTGCAGACCTAAAACTTGTAACAATAGAGGGATTGGGAGCAGGATTTGGCAAGAGAGTCTTAGACTGCAGTGCGGACCTGGCAAAATCTCTGCCAGTCTGACAGGGGGTTCTAGAGTGAAAACACATCCATTAAAGCAGTCAGGCTGTGGTCCTCTGTCATCTCAGTCATTGGTGCGGGGCTGCTAAGAAGAGAACGGTTTTTGACTCAAAAGCTGAACGCACCAACTTCTAGAGGCCACCTTCACTGTGACAGAAACTGCATGTTTAAATACTATACTAACAATTTATAACTATCCGGTGGCTTAATCAACTTTTTATTGAGTTTCTGTTGCTGAGAATAAGTCATCTTTTATGCGTATTATTACGGCTAGTGAACACTTTTTCTTGAGGTCAAAGGGATGGTCCAACATGACTTTAAAATATACTAGGACTTGGCACAGTGTCTAAAACAAGTGCTTGGTGAATGTAAATTATTAGTAGTAGTTGCAGTAATAACCAATAGTAATATTCCAACTATCTTACACCTTCCAAACCAAGGAGAGATTATTATGTTTTATGTATCTCTTGAACACCAGACTCATTTCTAGTGTACTTTGAAGTGCCCAAAGATTATAGACACACAAATATGTCTAACAGAATAATTACAGTATTTTTTAAGGAGTATAAAATCTGTATCCTCAAATATTGGTAATCAACAGGATAATCTTCGTACAGTGGTTTCTGTGAGCAGGAGATAATGTCTGCTCTACTAGTTGCCCAAATATCGCCTAAGTATTCTCTTTGCCTAGGAACACAGAATGAAAGCTTGCATCTCTTGCTGACTTTCTTTGCCACCACAGTGTCAGCATTTTGTGTTTAAAAGCCTATTTCAGGTCTTGTAACATAGAATAAAGTGACTAATACCTTGATCCTAATAAGATTGACCTATACTTTTAGAGTGTCATGAATTAAACTAAAAATCTCAGGAACTATCTCTCTCTTTCTCTCTTTCTCTCTCTCTCTCTCTCTCTCTCTCACACACACACACACACACACACACACACACACACAACAAACAAATAAAAAACACACATTTTGACTTGAAGTTTTACTTTAGCAATAGACTTGCCAGGACTTTCCCAACCAAAAGATATCAATAAGGTTCCTAACATTTTCTAAGATTTAAGTATCCCATGCTCAATTTGTTAAATAACACATTTTAAAAACTTTATTGAAATGACTATATTTTTAAAGCTATGTGCATTGTTGTCTGTTTCATCAACATTGACATAGCAGAAACAAGAGTACTCTCTGCTAAATAGAGAAGAATGATTAAGTTGGAGCCAAGTGAGACAAAGTTATCTCCCTCTGCCTACCTCACAATTCAAGGTTCCCACCTAGGGAACTGATGCATCCCTGGGTGATTGGACACAACATGGGATCAATTCAGCCTCTACTCTGCCTATGATTTGATCAAATCATATTAGCAAAGTGTCTCTTAAACATCCATATATGAATATTAAAGAGTATTAAGGGGGGCATTTCTTAACAATATTTTTATGAGTATAGTTATAAGTTTCTAAACATTTATAATACGATGACTAAAATATGCTATTTTTAAATTCAAGTGTTAACCTTGCCACACAGAATTATGACTTCTAGGGTGTAAACTTTAAAGTGAAACTGTTTTGAAAAAAATCTGCAGTTAAGTGTATGTGTATATATAGAAGAAAAGGAAACTTAGATTTACTGGTATCACCAGTGAAGCAAGAATGCTTAGAAAGATACAAATGTGTCTTTGGGAGAGTCTGCTTAATCAGATGCTTAAAGTAAGACAAGTCTCTGCATGAGACTTAGAAATCTCCTAGGAGCAGCTGGATTCCACACTGAGACTCAACAGAGTTCTGGGCTATGCTGTATTTTGGAAAAGGAAAAGCGGGTGCTGAGAGCTAAGTAGCCAATTACTCTTTATAGCCACATAAGGACTGAAGGCAAGTAGGCCCTTCCAACAAGTTGTATTATGCGATCACTGGCTTTGCAGGGAATCTCACGAATGTATAACCTTCTGATTGCCTTTTTGATTGAAAGTTCCATCTGAGATCAGGGCAGTGTAACCAGTAATAAGATTTCAAAAAAATCCCATCACTGGCACTGTCGGAAAGGCTGAGCATGACTGAAATCCTATCATTGTCAGTCAAAAAGATAAGGTAACAGCGGGCATCACTATAAAAGCTCTATAAATGCACAACTTAAACATGAATATCAACATTAAAAAGAATATATATATCCTTATACATATATTTATAAATATATTCATATATATAAATATGCACATATATACACAATTCAGTTACTGGGGATAATTTATAGTTTTAATTTTTCATCTCATAATCTCACGCACTGCCAACAAATTGAAATTGTGGCTCTCTGTTTTCATGAATCTAACCTTGAATTTGAAAGAAGTTGAATTGAGGGTAAAGGGTTTTAAAAGCAGCTTTTTATTTGTGAACAGAATAATGGCTCATAATACCTGGGATTAGAATTAAATATGTCACGTTGTGAGGCTGTACTTAGACTTTTTAAATGTCATTGTATTTTTTTGTGGACAAAATAATTGTAGAATATACTTTGCAGGAAATACTTTTCTATATTTTTTCAATTTCAATACTGTTTTATTTGCTATAAAAAGTGTCTTTGCACTGTTACTCAGCCAAACAGTGTTGAATGTATTATTTGCCCTTGTAATTATTGCTTCTTATGATAATTGTAGAAGAGCATGTCTTTATGATCTATCATTTAAAAATACATTTATTGTCATTGTAGTTTTAGTCAACACAAATTTATGGATTACATGGTATACTGTTGCTATTGAAGATATTCTAGTCCTAGTATTTTGAGCACAGACCTAGCGTTATGGAGGACATAAAATTTAAAAATTTCCTGACTTGATGGACTATCTGAGGAAAAAGAATTTTGTCTGTCACATTTATTGAGTATCTATCAGTACAGAAATTAAGCTACATGGTTGATACAGAAAGATTAAATACAGTAGCATTCTCAAACTTATTTTCTTTATTTATAAAATGTACCTAATCAATCTCATAAGAACTAATTGTTGAATTTTTTTTTTATCTATGGATAAATACTATTTGAGTCTGGGTTTAAGTTTGGTTGATCTGACACTAAATCCCCTTAACTTTCAACTAAACAGTTATCTCTGTAATTATGAGACTTTTGATGATAAGAAATAGAAACTAAGTTATATATAGTGCTATGGAAGTACTGAGGAGGAAGTAAGGGACCCCATATGGGAAGACTCAAGAAGACGTCACGGTGAAATTTTCCAAAAAGATGGGAACTCAAGAATGGGTGCAACAGAAATCACAGCTTTTCCAAATACTAAAAGGGAAAATTATAAAAAGCACCAATGGCACACTTTTGGACATTCAGAAAGATCCAGAAATTAGGTGCTTATAGGAAACTCTAGGTTTGCCAAATTGTAGTGTTTTATGGATAGGAAAAATGAAGTTCAGAAACGTTATAAGGAATTTTCAGGGTTAAATTACACATCAAATATGTGAGAGAAACAGAAATTACATGCTGGTATTTGGGGTCATCTCCTGAGTTGTAATGTTGTAAGTGTTTTTGTATGTATTCTCCTCCTTCCTTTATGTGTGGAAGTTTCATCTAGGTCTCAAGGTTAGTAGGCATTTGCTGGTGAAAATAGTGCCTTTGGGTACTATTTCCCCAACTTGAGTTACCTGCCACCATCTAATTCACATCTTGAATGCAAGTATTATTTCTTGCAAGTATCCCTACTAATAGATAATAGATATTTCTATTATTATCCACAGATTACAGAAGAGGGTTGCTAGGAGGAATATCACAAGATGCTGTCTGAAGAGAAAGACTGTGGAAAACCATGGCTTCAATGAACTCAGAGGTCAGGACCAGAAAAGGAAATGAGAGGTCACCAAAGCCAAATGTTAATTTCTTGGGATTTCTTCTGTACATGCAAAGAACTTCAGGCCATCCTATGATTCCTCAAAAATAAGAGGAAAATTTTAACAATTATGCTCTAAGATGGACCATGACAATTTAGGAGTCATTGGGATCACCCCCCAAAGCCAAATGTTAATTTCTTGGGATTTCTTCTGTACATGCAAAGAACTTCAGGCCATCCTATGATCCCTCACAAATAAGAGGAAGATTTTAACAATTATGCTCTAAGATGGAACATGACAATTTAGGAGTCACTGGGATCACCCCCCCCACCTTTCCAACGTTACTCTGCTTTAACTACAAATATGTCGAATGGTTTTCTAATTTTTCTTTAACTTAACCTCTAAAGTTCGAGAGCTGTCATCTTTGTCAAGTCTGATTGTTGAGTATGTGAATGGATGTTTTTGGCTCAATGTTAGAGCCAAAATTTATAAATAATAATTATTTATACATAATGATATTGCAAATAAACTTTAAGAAAGAGCTTTAAACATAAAAATTCTTTTCTATAAAATACATACTAGGTACTATGCTAGTAACAGTAAAAGGATATACCCAACACACTTCTCTTGCCTTTCAAGACATGGAATTAAATTAGATAAATTATAGAAGCAAATGAATGATAAAACATTTGATTTGGCTATCCTGTGGAAGAACTGAGCAGACAGTGTTTTTAAAGCACAGAGAAAGAATATTTATCTAAGTCTACCAAGACAAGATATCTTTCTTGAGGCTGTGTTAGAATGAGTCCTGGAGGGAAGCAAATCTTAGACAGGGAGTATCAAAAAGTAATGCTAGTTTGAGGTCCTGACACCTGAAAATAAATGGTGATGTGAGGGGATCTCTCAATTGGCTTCATTATTGTGTTTCTCAATGTATGAAATTCTCCAAGTTACAAAAACAATCAGTATCCTTATTTATTTAAGAAATACGTACCAAAGATTTCCCATTCATTTGGGTGCTGGGAATACAGCATTGAAAAGACAGAGAAGGTTTTTTTTTTTTTTTCAAAGAGCTGGTAAAATGGAAGAAATGTAAATAAATGGAAATAAAAAAAACTTGATACGATAGAACAAAACAGATGGATGGGAAACTAAATGTTTTACTTACAGTGGACAGAATGATATTTGAGTTGCCATGTGAAGTTTTTGTAATCAAGGAAAACCATAGTAAAGGGTTTGGGAATGTTTATGTTAGTTGTTCTGCTGGACTGAATCAGTGGCATATACAAGAATGAATATGAGGTCCAGATTATAGTGGTTAAAGGTGAAAGAGATGCAACAGATGTGGAAACCTGGGAAGAGACCATATTATCCAGGTTCTTGTCAACCAAGATAAGAAGCTCATGTTTACTTAATGTAAAAGAGAAGGCAATTGAAGGGATCTAAAAGCTGGGGTATGATATGATCTGATTTCTATTTTAAAAATAATCACTCTGGCTCTATATGAAAATCAGATTGTAGGAGACATGAATGAAAGTGGGAAACCTAGATAGAAGATTTTTATCATAAGCCAAGGAACATATTATCTTGAATTTATGGAGTGGTAATACAGATAGAAGAAATACCCAGAATTCACATATATTTTGGATATAAAATTGGTAGTAACAGTAGTTGAATTACATGCTCAAAATGAAGATGGAATCTAAAAATAACTCCTAGAGTTTTTGGCTTGAAAACTATGTAATTCGTGGGGACAATTACAAAGTTTAGGAAGATGAGAAGTGAATTTGTTTATCAAAGGCTGACTTCCTAACTTCTCTAATAATGGACAACAGAAAAGGATAATAGAAATAAGAGTCTTTGTAGAAATTCTTACATGGGATATGTTAGGGACTGTATTAGTCAGGGTTCTTCAGAGACACAGAGCCATTTGGTGAGAGAGAGTTTTTAGGAGGAATTGGCTCATGAGATTATGGTAGTGGATAACTCCTATGATCTGTTGTCTGCAAGCTGGAGGAAAACCAGTATTGCAGTTCTGTCTGAGTCTTAAGGCCTGAGAATCAAGGGAGATAAGATGTAAATCCCAGTCTGAAGTCAGGAGAAGATGAAATAAGATATTCCAGATGAAACAGGCAGAAAAAAAGGGAACAATTCTCCCCTTCCTGTTCTTTATGCCTTCAGTGTATTAGATGAGACCCATATATATTGGGGAAGGCAATCTACTTTACTGAGCCCATTGATTCAAATGCTAACATTATGTGGAAACACCAACACAGACACACCCAGAAATAATGTCTAATCTGTGCATCCTGTGGCCTAGTCAAGTTGCCATATAAAATTTACCATCATAGGGATCATCTAGAAAACATTGCTACACTTTGATTTTTTCTATATATCAATACCTGAGTCAATGAAGGTCACAAGAGACATGATACATTTCAGAAAGAAAAGGTCAGTCAGACTGATAATTTTATATATTTTAGATTTCCAGAAATTAAAAAAATAAAGGCTCCACTTCAGTTAGTTTGTTCATTCTCGGCTGAAGTATGATGGATTCACTTACTGGAAATATTAGTTAGTGGAAATGAGGAGATAATATCTCGAAAACTTTAATGTATGCTTACCTAAAAGTAGAAAAAAAAGACACATATAGCTTTCTCTATAAACATAATACATTGTCCAGAAAGCTTTCCAGAGATATATCCTTTCTCTTTGGACTGAATACTAAATCTCAAGAGAAGAAACATTTGGTCTTTGTGGTTTAGGTATGATAAAAATTACAAAAGAAACACACTCAAACAAATCATTTTTGTTGGTTTATTGCTACTTACTGATAAAGTTATCTGGTTGTTTGGAAGTTTAGGGGTTTGGCACTTAATTAATGTCGGGTGCGTAGAATTGAAGCAATATCCGTTGGGAGAGAAAAGTCTTATGCAGAGTAAGTATAAGAAATTCTTATATTAAAAGCTTATTTATGAGAATGCATCTAATCTGTCATGCACTTATGCTATAAGCCCTGTGCTACATGTGTGGGGCTTGGACAAAGATAGAAAGACATCCTTTTTCTTCAGAGATTACTGTCTTCTGTAGTAGTTTGACACAGCTCTTGTTTTTAAAATAATAGCATTATATATATATATATATATACATATAAAATATGCATGTTTTAGTACTTTCAAATTGCCATAAAAATACTGATTCAAAATAATGAATGTTTAATGAGTTTATGGATAGAAACATACTTACTGAGCTACGCCATAAAAAAAAATTAAGAATTCCATCAGTCATTATGGAGAGAGATGGAACATACAAAGGTGATATCACAAGTGCGAGGCAGGAAGGCCTGAAGACCCAGAGTCTAGAAAATGCGTTGTGTGTGTCTTAAAACCTGGCAGGAATAAAGTAAAAACAGAAAATTACAGATACACTAATTTTTGCTATGAAAACATCAATAGAAACTAACAGTGTATTAATAAGTAATACCTCTTGTTTTAATATGGTTCGTCCTAGGAATAGAAAGATAATTTTATAAAATAGTTAATTGACTATCAAAGACAAAAATACATACATATGAACATTTCTGTAGGTGTATTTTTAAAAAGTGTGGTAAAGTTCATGATCTACTTAAGATAAAAACCCTCAGAAAACTAAGCATTTTGCATAAATGAGAATGTCCTTAAATTGATAAAGGGTAATCAACCCAAATTTTATACTAAATAAAGTAGTTAATAGAGAATTGTAAGGGAAATTTATTTAAGATGAAAATAAGAAAAGAAAGGCTGTCCACATTGCTTTGGTTCAATATAATATTCCAAGTCCTGACTACCACCAATATCCAAAGAAATGCTGAAGCAGGAACAAAGCTTTAAAGCTTTATAGAAAAGAGGGGAACTGTGCCATTATTTACAGATAATATTGTCATACACATAGAAAGTTAACAGAGTAAATAGACAAACTATGACTACTAAGCAAGTATTTCAGCAATGCCGCTAAATCTGAATGATTTATCTGATGAAAGGAAAATGCTAATGATGTCAATTATATTAGTAATTTTTATTCTATTATAATCAAAATGTTAACAGAAATTTGTAACCAATTCAATATTTTGTTTTTAAATTTGATTTTATTATTTGTTGAGCTCTATAATTTAATTTAAGTAAGACTAGTGAAGAGATAAGGAAGGAATAGTATTACACTACCAGGTAAAAGAAACTTACCACCAAGCTATGAAAAATAAAACAAGCAAATGACAATGCACAAAAAAATGAGCAATAAAAACATATATGGAAATCTTGCTGCAGGTACAGAGGCAAGCCCAAGTAAATGAACCAAAACTCAAACTAGTTTGCTTTCAAAAATGCAAATGTAAAACAGTAAGCTATCACTCTAAATTTATGGGATGGGTATAAAAATGTGGATACTATCAAGTGTTAGTGAAAACATTAAGACTGAGAAGATTCATACATTGCATCTCTTCTGTAATCCAGCAATGCCACATTATGGGGTAAATTCCAGAGAAACTCTTACAGATTCCTAAGTGAGTATGTTCAGTGTTATTTATTATGCCTTTTTTTAAAAGTGAGGTGCTAGAGGCACTGAATGCGTCTGCACTAGGAGGATGGATATTATGTCCTCTTAATAAATACTAAGAGTTACTATCGGGCATTTAGACATAATAAAATAAATGCACTCAAGCTAGCATGTATTCATTCTGAAAAATTATGTCAAATTAAAAATGTAAATTGCAGAATAAAACTTGTGATGAAATAACATCTATATTAATTTAAAACAAATCCACAGAAATATACATTTTACAAAGATACATATCCAATAATATTTACTTTTGCTTACCTGAGAAAAAGTGGCTCATCTACTTGCACTTGAGGTCTAATAAACAAATTGATACTAAAATAAAAATAAGATAATATTAGGTATGCTTAGAAAAATCAGTAAATAATATGTTCCTTGGACTTGGTGTTTGGTATAGGAAAGGAAGTATTACAGTGAGGATGGGTGGTATTCTGACTGTGAAAGTGTGTATGTACTAAAGAATCTAGACTAAAATAGGAACTCCAGCCTATGAAATTGTGCTGTGCAGAACAGGAACCCATATGATTTAGATACGTATTTTCAGTACAAGTTTGGATTTCTAGTATATTTCACATTTGTTGAAATGCCCAGACTATTTATCTCTCTCTTAGAGGTCACAATCTATATTTACAAACTAAAAGCTCTTAGAAATCCTATTGCAATAAAATGGTTTATTTGGTTTATTCCTGGATTTCTTAAATATAGTTAGTTAATTATGATTTTGTTCACTGAATAACCAATGTTATCTTCCTAAATAGATGTATTTTGTAAATAAAATTTATGCATCACTATTGGAATCGATAGACATTACTATTAGAATCAATAGAGAAACTGAGGATTTTAAAGACATGAAGGGATATGATCAAATCTAATATAATTTTCTTCCTTGTAATAGGATCATATTCAGGATATCACCATCTATTTATTGAGCATCTACACTGCACATAGCTCCGTGATGAGCATAATTGGGAATAAAGCAGTAGGATAAGTCACAGACCTTGTTCACACAGAGCTAATTGGAGAGATAAATTTAACACACTGAGATAATTAGGTGATGTGACCTACCACATATGACAGTATGTAAAGGAAGAGGCAAAGTGTGGGGAAGCTGTCAATTGACATTCAGAAAAGAGAAAAGGTCAAGGAAGTTCAGATGGCTGGAGAAATCAATGTGCAAGAAGTTGAGCTTGTTTTTTTAGGATTAGTTCCCCATTGAGAAGAGGGCATTTGTGAAACAATGATTGTTCACATAGGTTATTGCAGTAGTCTATGTCTACTCTGTCTCCAATCTTCTTCTCCGTCAATTTTTGGAAATCTCTATTATCAAGTAAACATCCTAAAACATCACATCCTAGAATGGCCAAGATCCTAAAATGGCCTCCTAATCATGTAAATTTCTGTGGATTTAAAACAAATCCACAGAAATATACATTTTACGAGGATACATATCCAAGAATATTTATTTTTGCTTATTTGAATTTTGCTCTTTGTAGTCGTTTTTAATTTGGTTCAGTATATAATTGTAGAGTTTGTGGGTGTTTCAGGTTTTCCTGGAGCATATATCCTACTCAAAAGAAACTTCTAGGCTGGTTTTAAGGTCGATGATGGAGAAGAATGGCCTTGTTATATTAATCAATGACCTCCATGCCAATGTAATTCACCCTAGCTTACTCATCCAAATCCTCTCCCTTTCCTTTTGTCAAAATAAGATTCTCTCCTTCAATGGCCTTTGCTGAAGACACTCAGAAATGTCCTTCTTCCTATTAGTACCTAACTACAGACACTATATTTATCCTTAGGTTCTCATCACAGTATTGGGCACAGAGATCAGATGTTAAACCCCCAGGAGTTAAGCAGCCTTCTCATAAAAGTGGCAAAGTGTGTTGAGTGAGTTATGTTACAAATAAAGAAAATAGTCCTAAAAGGTTAATATGTTGGAGATGAAAAAGAATCAAGCTAGTTCAACATCTATATTGTCTTTAGATAACAATGGCTATTGAGGGGGTGGGAAACGAATAAAATAGTAACTCAATTCCAAGTAAGCATTTATTTGTCATGTTTATTGAACACGGAAATGATTGAGTACTTTGAGGAAAATAAAGATTTATCTGACACAGTCCTTAGATTGTAATCCTTTAAGTTACAGTGACCTGTTTAGTGTCATCCTCTGTAAAAGAAACTTGCTCTCAAACTGGACTCCACAGATGCTAACAGTTGGTGAGGCTAACAATCATGAATGAAGAGAAAAATCAGCACACGTTGCCACAGATCTTTCATCATCACTATCACTGACATCACTTTATCTTACTTCCCAATATTTTTTTGTTTGATGTATCAAGGTATCAAGTAAACCACAGTTGAAGGAAACGTTTTTGTTTGGCTTAACAACAATTAGCCCAACATTTTTCAGAAATCTCTTCTAGCTTGTAAGTATGAATATCTTCTATTCACTCAAAAAGATGCACATTTTAATATGACCACATTTTCTGTGACCAAAATAAATAAGAAAATTGGAAAATAATTTTGAAGTTTGTTAAATGGAGTAAAGACAATACTGGAATTTTTTTCTCAATAAAAAGAATGTAGAATCTTTGTTCTATAACAATTTGTCTATCTCATCAGGAAGAACATTTACAGGAATGCAGGTGTTTTGCACTGAGTTGTCACAGCTACTGTATGACTGACCTGTAAACCTGCAAGAAATATTTAACAATCTTGTCAATGTTTGCAGTGGGAAAAGGCATTTTCATGTTTTTATGTTTCTTACTACTTGAGTTGTTCCTGAAAGTCCCATGTTGAATTGATGAAGTACTAGACTATTATAGCCTATCAAATATGTAAGTTAGGCTCATATTATTTGTAAATTTGTACATTATAATATTTGGGCATATTCTACATTAAAGAATGTAGAAACCAATTTTTCTAGCAATAGGGTGGTTTTATAATCACCATGATGATTGCAACCAATGATGCTTTTGTAATCACACTGCAACAAGATCACTCTCTTCTCTTTTATCCAATGCGGATAATGTCAAAGGATGGCATACACTCTGCACCAAATTCCTTAATAAGGCATTATAAACACTCTCACAAATGTTCTTGTGGGATAATGATGAAGAGGTCCTCAAGATTGTTTTCTAAGATTCGTACTCCCTATTTAGAAAGAGACGTATACATAAGATCATTAAATCAATTTGCCACACTGTACCCCACCAACTCATCACTAA
Source organism: Homo sapiens (assembly GCF_000001405.40). Classification (NCBI taxonomy): domain Eukaryota; kingdom Metazoa; phylum Chordata; class Mammalia; order Primates; family Hominidae; genus Homo; species Homo sapiens. The sequence goes on along the minus strand of NC_000016.10, from coordinate 61,639,981 downwards.
AATCAAGCCTGCTAAAATCCCTCTGATCAATTAAGGGAGAATGTGGTAACCAACATGAAGTTAAGTGATTTGGGAAGGTCTCTTCTAACTACCCAGCTCACTTATAACACAAACGTTCATGAAATGGCCATATTGAAAGATGAAGGGTCTTCTCCGGGCCTTCGTGAAAGAACCTAATAAGGATAAGTAATAACTTTCCTGGATCCCACTCTGAAATTCTTCCTTGTTCACTGTTTCCGAGTATTTCCTTTATGGCCTAGCCTGTTGACTACTCCCTCATGGGCTGACCTTCTCTGATGCCATGCTTTGACTCACGCATTCTATTTTGCTTCCCACTTGAAGGTTGGATGGTCCAGTTCTTTAAAAGAATTATTGGCTTCTTCTTGGGTGACCCATTGGATATAGAAATTGGTCTTTGAGTTTAAAAGGTTTGTATCTGGGGAATTGAAATATTCAATTATCAGTTTCTGCAAAGTAGCTCCTCTGTATTGCACTATTGAGTAAGGAAAGTTCAGTTTATTCTTATTGGATCTGAAAGGCAGGAAAAGGGGATGTGGGTAGTGTCCTGACAGGAAGATATGGCACACTGAAATTAAGAAATTAAGGATGATTTAATGAGTATATAATTTCATATGTATGGGTATAGTTGCGGAAAACCAAGAAGGGTATGCAGAATATTAAAGCTAACAAAAGTAAGGAACCAGCTAATATTGTTAGTCCTGACTGGAAAACAAGAATAAGTGGTTTCTGGAAGTTGAAAAGGAAGCTAAAGTTTTTATCTGTGGAATAGGAGGCAGGACCTATGGCAAAGAAAGGTGACTGTGCCCTTTTATTTTGTCCACTGATTATGAGGGGCCAGAATAAGGACACAGAAAGAATTAGGCAGGAATAAAGGAAGTAAAATACTGTTGAACTTTGTTAATTGATTAGGTATTATGGGATATTGTTTTCATAAATTTCTATGAAATGCCAATCAAATAAATGTTATTTTTATCATCATTCTACATATTAAGAAACCAAGAATCTGAAATCTGAAGTAACTAGATCAAAATCGCATATTTTCTCCTGATTATAAAGGCTGATATTTATAGCCCTTGAGTGGTGAATTGCTATCTAATGACATTTCTAGGCAGGACCAGAAACATGATCCATTTATTTGTACCAACAGTGTTTCTGCAAAATTCTCAAATCATGTCACTTGTGGCGGTAAGTCTTATAAAGTTCTACTTTCAAAGAGAATCAAAACATCTCTTAATTTTCATGGAATCTTTAGCCTGCTATTTTTGCTCATGTCCAGCAAATAAGGCTTTTTCCATTCCCTGTGAACAATTTGGGAAACATCACTTTAGGCTGAGGCTTTTAATATGTTCACAAGACAGATATATTTAGAAATAAGATTTCCAATATGTTCCCCACTGCCCTTTCTCCTAAACATACATTTGGAAATTTTTTTTTGTAACCATTAGAATTAAATTCAATATATAATTTTGGAATGTCTCAATACCTCTTATACTTATGACATAGATAATAACCAATGGCAACCTCATGTTTTCCAGAGATTATGAATCTGTGCTTGTCCTCAACTATCGGGGCAAAATTATGTTTCCTGAATACACCTGGAAAGAAAAGAAGAAATGTTTCTCAGGCAATGATACCAGGAGATAATAGACTATTAAATTATCATTCATAGAAGGGGATTTAGCAAACATGTGAACTCATCCTCTCCTTACACACTTGGGGCTGAAAGACTGTATACCTGTCTACTGTGAAAAAAAAAGAAGAAAAAATAAATAATCTCAATCTTTTCACAAACTCGGGTCATAGTTACTTATTCAGCAAATGTTTATTGGGTGCCCTTTTCTGCTACAGAATATACTGAGTTCTGAGTATACAATAGCAAATGAAAATGACATGGTCTCTGACTTCCTGGATCTAACAGAGTTGGGGGTAGGGAGAAACAGCCTAAATGCATATATATATATATATATATAGAGAGAGAGAGAGAGAGAGAGAGAGCTGAAATGCATATATATATACACACACACATATGTGTGTGTATATATGTGTGTATACATATACACATATATGTGTATATATATGTGTGTATACATATACACATATATGTGTATATATATGTGTGTATACATATACACATATATGTGTATATATATGTGTGTATACATATACACATATATGTGTATATATATGTGTGTATACATATACACATATATGTGTATATATATGTGTGTATATATATACACATATATGTGCATATGTATATTTGTGTGTATATATATATATACACACACACACATATATATATGGAAAGAGAGAGAGAGAGAGAGAGAAAAGCATTATCAGTATAAAGCATCACAGGTGTGTCCTGCACAAGGTGCTTGGGCAAGAGGGCACAAGTGGAGGCAGAAATCTAAGCTGACCACATGGCCAAGCCATGTGTCATGATGTGGAGTTGTGGCAGTTTGGAGGAAAAAGTATTATTTGTTCACAATAGAGAGGGTGACATTTTTCAATGCATCTTTTGGAGGAGAAATATTTTTCTAAATCATACAGAGACACTATAAGAAATAAAGATGTCTGAACTACTGTGAGGAAACACTTTGACATTCTATGAAAGGAAATATTAAAGAAGCCTGATTTCACTGAGTTAGTCAGAAGGTCCTCAAATTAAAAACAAAAGGAATTTAAGCTAACTTTTAAAGGACAAGAAAAAATTGGCCAGGTCAGGAGAGAAATAAAGAGAGTTAACAAGATCACAGGGCAGATGATCGCATGCTGGAAAAGAGCTTGATTAATTTGGAAAAAATTAAATTGTTGCCAGCTTGCAATGGGAGAAAGGAAATTTAACATGAGATATAGTTGGAGAGACAGGTAGTGGAAAAATCATACAGGATCTTGTAGAACATTGTGGCGAATATCGATTTTCATTGTTATTCAATTGGGTGGTCATACCTTGATGGCAGGATGACTGTAAGTGCTGACATGGAAAAAGCAAATGAAGAGACAAGTCCAGAAACAAGAACATTTTCTCTTGGAGATAGAATTCTAGCTGTTGTCTTTTAATGAGTGAATTCACATAGCGATTAAGGTAACTAATGGGTACTAAGCTTCATACCTGTGTGATGAAATAACCTGTACAACAAACCCCCATGACACGTGTTTACCTGTGTAACAAACCCACACGTGTACCACTGAACTTAAAATAAAAGATAAAAAGAAGAGAGAGAAGTCCAATATATGTTCATATTTCCTGGGCATTTGCATTTTTTAAAATATTTTAAGTTCTGGGATACATGTGCAGAATGTGCAGGTTTGTTACATAGGTATACATGTGCCATGGTGGTTTGTTGCACCCATCAACCCATCATCTACATTAGGTATTTCTCCTAATGCTATCCCTCCCTTAGTCCCCCACCCCCAAAAGACCTGGTATGTGATGTTCCCCTCCCTGTGTCCATGTGTTTTCATTATTCAACTCCCACTTATGAGTGAGAATATCTGGTGTTTGGTTTTCTGTTCTTGTGATAGTTTGCTGAGAATGATGGTTTCCAGCTTCATCCATGTCCCTGCAAAGAACATGGACTCAACCTTTTTTTATGGCTTCATAGTATTCCATGGTATATATGTGCCACGTTTTCTTTATCCAGTCTATCACTGATGGGCATTTGGGTTGGTTCCAAGTCTTTGCTATTGTGAACAGTGCTGCAATAAACATACGTGTGGATGTGTCTTTGTAGTAGAAGGATTTATAATCCTTGGGGTATATACCCAGTAATGGGATTGCTGGGTCAAATGGTATTTCTGGTTCTAGATCCTTAAGGAATCACCACAGTCTTCCACAATGGCTGAACTAATTTACACTTCCATCAATAGTGTAAAAGTGTTCCTATTTCTCCACATCCGCTCCAGCATCTGTTGTTTCTTGACTTTTTAATGGTCAGCATTCTAACTGGTGTGAGATGATATCTCTTTGTAGCTTTGATTTGCATTTCTCTGATGACCATTGATGATGAGCTTTTTTCCTATGTTTGTTGGCCGCATAAATGTCTTCTTTTGAGAAGTGTCTGTTTATATCCTTCTTCCACTTTTTGATGGGGTTGTTCAATTTTTATTGAAAAATTGTTTAAGTTCTTTGTAGATTCTGGATATTAGCCCATGGATAGTTTGCAAAAATTTTCCTCCCATTCTGTAGGTTTCCTGTTCACTCTGATGGTAGTTTATTTTGCTGTGCAGAAGCTCTTTAGTTTAATTAGATCCCATTTGTCAATGTTGGCTTTTGTTGCTATTGCTTTTGGTGTTTTAGTCTTTACTTTAAATAAGAAATGTACAGTTTTAATTAAGAGCATATTGTTTGAACTTGTAATTTTACTGCTAAAAATTTATCCTAAGTAAATTAATGGATAGGCTCACAAGGACATGTTTGAAGGATGTTAATCACAGCATTGTTTACAATAGCAAAAAGAAAAAAATTGTGCAAATAGCAATAGAGTATGGTATGTTTGTATAATGAGTAGATTATGTAGTCATATAGTTATTGATATGAAAAGCTTTATATCATGCATTAATTTTAAAAAGCATATTATAAAATATCATATGTAGATTAAACCTACTATTGTTATAAACAATATTAACTTCTCTGTGCCCTATTGGATTTCCAGTCACATAGATAATATATTTGTTATTTTTAGAGTCATATAAAAGTAATGAGAGCCATTTTTAGTTTGACAATGACAACTATTGAAAAGTTCATTTTCATTTCTTTTACTTTTTTCTTCTCTTATTTTACTAGTTGAAAATTATTATTTTCAAAAAATATTTTTATGCCTAAATCAGGAAACAATTATTTGTGAGATAATTTTCTAGAATCTGTCTGATAATATGCTACATCTGGAATGCATGTCCCATATTGTTCCTCGAATTTTCTCATTGCTGCCATTCAAAATGTTAGCAGTAGGTCATAGTATAAAAATCATCCTTTGGAATCAGGCAGTCTTGAGTTCAAATTCCAGATGTTACTTATTTAAATGAGCAAAATACAGGATAATTATACACACTTTGATTCTAACTGTTTTAAGTCTCCGTTTGTAATGCATTTAGTGTAGGGTCTACAACACAGAAGGAATTCAATAATAACAGCATTAAGTACTATTACCTCTTAAAAATTTGTCCTTGGAATAAAGTAATCACAAATGAAAGCAAGAATAAGTACCATCTCCCAAATTTGCTTTAGCTTAGCTCATCCAAACAATTTTCTTATATTTAGCCATTAAAAGTGGTCATTGTAGTAACAGTTGAAAAACGTTTAGTATGTTATGTGAAGACCTTTAATAAAAGTAAATTGGTTACTATGAAAAAAAAAAAAGAGAGAGAGAGAGAGAAGGAAAGAAGGTCCAGGTACTGTATTGTGGAAGAATTGGAATAGAAGAGACGATTGCAAAAACACTAGAAATGAGTTCAGAGATGTGGAAGGAAGCCCCAGGGAAGGCGCTGTTCTGGAGGCCCAGAGAGGAAATGTTTCAAGAGTGATCTACTTGGCCGGGCTCGGTGGCTCACGCCTGTAATCCCAGCACGTTGGGAAGCCGAGGCGGGCGAATCACGAGGTGAGGAGATCGAGACCATCCTGGCTAACACGATGAAACCCCATCTCTACTAAAAATACAAAAAATTAGCCGGGTGTGGTGGCGGGCGCCTGTAGTCCCAGCTACTCCGGAGGCTGAGGCAGGAGAATGGCGTGAACCTGGAGGTGGAGGTTGCAGTGAAACGAGATTGCACCACTGCACTCCAGCCTGGGTGACAGAGTGAGACTCTGTCTCAAAACAAAACAAAAAAAAAAAACAAAAAAAAACAGTGGTCTACTTAGCTAAAAATCCTTAATAATCTAGTGAGGTGCAGATGCAAAACATCTATTGAATTTGCCTCCAGTGACCCTTGCAATCACACAGTCAGAGCAGTAGACTGGATTGAACCACGTAGATTAAACCAAATAAGTGGATGAAAGAAAAAAATGGGATCTTAGGAAATATAGACAGTAGTTATACACATATTTTTGCTTACCTTCAGAGCAAATTTCTTCAGATAATGGATTATAAAAATATATGGGACCATAGGATCATATTTTAATGTTTATATTTGTATATATTAGAGAAATGGGATCATACCCTATGTTATTTAGGATAGACCAATAAATAAAGAGAGTTTGATAACTGGGGATTGAGAGAAATGACCAAACTGTAGGATCAAAATCCCTGAACAGGTGGAAGGGGTGGAGAGAGGCTGTAGTCCAGAGAAGATGGAGAGGAACTGGTCTTTGACTCGGCATCATATTCTCATTAGTAATAAGAGGGAATAACTAATGGATCATTCATTCATTCTAATAGAAAAAAATGAAAATATTTGTTAATTTCGTTATGGTCTAGCCACTGTGCCAAAGGCTGGGAATGCTTAGGTGAGCAAGACCAACGTGGTCTCTCTCTTCATGGGGCTTTCAGTCAAGCACAGGTTACAGACAATAAATGAACAAACAAACAAACAAATTGAAAAACAAAGTAAAATAAAATGACTTAAAGAAAACAAAAAGGGCCGGGCTTGGTAGCGGGCACCTGTAATCTCCCAGGGCAGGAGGATCACTTGAGCCCAGGAGGTCAAGGTCACAGTGAGCTATGATTGTGCCACTGTCCTCCAGCCTGGGTGACAGAAAGAGCAAGACCCTGTCTCTAAAAGCAACAACAACAACAGCAACAACAAAGAAAACGAAAAATGAGGTTAAATGTAGTGAGAGTGATGAGGGGAGGGAGGGGAGTTTAGATAGAGTAGTCAAGGGAGGCCAGTATCCTCTTGGAAGAGAGGGTGTTTGTGCAGAGACCCGAGTGAATGTATGAGATGTTCCAGATCTGAAGGAGGATTCTGCCAAAGAAGCAAAGAATCAAAGAGGAGAGGAGTTTGGAGAGGTATGGCCACCAGAGCTGTCCCTAAACAAATGCATTTATATACCACAGCAGGAGGCAGACACTGTTGCAGTTACTTACGGTTTGAAATGATTTTAAAAAAAGACTCTGATGTTAGCTTATTTAAGGAAGGATCTGAGAATGAGGCAAGGACAAAAAACCAAACACAACAAGTTCTCACTCATAGGTGGGAATTGAACAATGAGAACACTTGGATACAGGAAGGGGAACGTCACACACAGGGGCCTGTTGTGGGATGGGGGAGGGGGGAGGGAAAGCATTAGGAGATATACCTAATGTAAATGACCAGTTAATGGGTGCCCCACACCAACATGGCACATGTATACGTATGTAACAAACCTGCACATTGTGCACATGTACCCTAGAACTTAAAGTATAATATATATATATATATATATATATATATATAAAATAAATAAATAAATAAAAAGAAAAAAAAAGGAAGGATCTATTGGCAATCTACCCTGGAGCACTCAACCTTGTCTTGCCCCATAATGATTCTTCTTCTTCTTTTTTTTTTCCCTGAGTATTTTGAAGTAAAACTCTTTATGGCGTACTCCTTTATGTCTCTGTTTCAATACTGTATTTAATCTCTTAAAAACATCACCTGCATTTGGCACAGAACTGGTTCTCAAATATATTACAAGCATTATGCCAGTCTCCAATAAATGGTGAAATGCTGTTACCTGATGTTTCAGCTGCTATCAAGTTCCTAGTTGCTTTGAGACTGTTTTACATTTCATTAGTATAATGATAGAGTTTACAGTTATCTACAGTATGTAATTACATCCATTAATAGTAACACTGCATTTTTACATTAATTATAATGAGAATTAATGGATAGTTATGTGGATTTTCAGCTACAAGGAAAAATTTTGGTATCAATTATTCTTATATAGCTAAAGACGAATTTATGGACAAATTTACCTCAGTAATTCTTTAAGGAGAATATGAGATTTCAAGTTTCAGTAACCATGAATTATGAAATTAAAAAAATATATAAGATGAGAAATTAGAGTTTGTAACTGTACATGAAAGAGGTTTGTTGTAAGAGGAGGCAGCATGGTAAGGTGTTAAGGAGGTGGAGCTAGACCTGAATTAGAAGCCATTATTCGCCATTTTCAAACTCTTGTTTAAACTCTTCCACCCTTTGTTTCTTTCTCCTTTGTAAGTTAAGGCTTATGATGACTACTGCCCCAAATGGCACCAATTTAAAGAAATAATTTTGTAAATTTTCAGTGTGCTGCCTGGCACATTGCAAATACTCTACAAATGGTAGTTGTATATATGGAGAATATGGAAACAATGTCAATGAATAAAGGCTTAGGAAATATTATTTTTCCTTAAACATGTAAGAGAGGCAAAATTTTGGTTTAAAACTGTGTTCTTTGATGTCCAACAAGAAAGAAATGGACCAGTAGTGTAAGTGAGGCTGAGACAGGAAGGAGGTGGCTGTGGAAACTATATTTCATGGCCCATAAAATCAGAGCGGCATTACAACTTTGAATGGAAGACCAACCGCAGTTAAAAAATAAATTCCCTCCTGGCATGCATATTATCCATAATAAGGCAAAATGAATTTACAAGCATCTCACTGAAATGCAGGGGAGTAAGATACTAAAATTCTTCTAGGTGCCCAAGGCTGTTTAAAGAAAAATTAATGTGTTATAGAAATTATTACCAATTTAGGACTTGCAAAACGCTTTCATGGGTTTACATTCAGCCTTGCTCCCTAAATATTTCCTCTCTTTTTATACCTCCCTCTCTCGCTCCCTCCATCCCTTCTCTCTCTCTCATACACACCTCTCTGGTTCTTGAAAGTGATGACTTTTGCTCCAAAGGTTTTCAGGATGCTTTGATTCATGATGCAAATAGATGGGAATGTTTTGTATATTTTGATGTTTGTGCTTTGCATCCTAATTATTGAACTTTGCTTATTAAATTACCGAATCCTATGACAACCATTGTCGTAGTCAGGGCAGGGGTTATCATTCCCATTTTTGTGTCTGGCAAATATTTGCCCTGGATGCTATTAAGCTACATGATCCTTCCCTCATCCAATTAATCACAAAGAAAGCAGAAGGCAAAATATCTAAGTAATCAGTGTGGTCAAGAACAATTCTCTATATGAATTTCTCTTTCTCTTATCCACGCCTCAAATTAAGAGCCCATCAGCATTATGCAGAAGAGAAAATACCTTGACATTTTCCAAATCTTGAGAAAGCACAGGATCATTCAGTAATGAGACTTCCATTCCTTCTTGTACTTCCTATGCAGGGAAGTGTCCCATGCAGATGGCTGTCAAGCAAGCCTGGGAACAACATCACCAGCAAAAGCTGCCCGATGGAGACAGAAAAGGAACCCTCTGTCCTCTGCCTGCAGATTTGAAATGACCTCTGCTTGAAGTCTTTGCCTTCATTAGCAGAAAATTTTTTGCTTCACGTTTGGAGACGTGGGCTCAAGAAAGGCAGGCTAATGTTCTCTAAATTGGGTTTAAGATTAGACCTCCATTCTAATATCCAGCTACATTTAGAGTCTTAAAGAATCCTAATTTCCTCCAAAGGGAGCCTAATTTAATCTCCCTTCCAGGTGGGCTCTTGGAAATGTGCTGCAGCATAGACAGGCCCTCGACCTCTCCCTCCACCTTATATCTTTCACTTAGGGTATCCTAATTGGCTTTCCCTGCATGAATCAGTAAGTGGTGATTTGTGAGAAGATTTCATTTGGGTATCATATGCTACCATGTCTGTTAGATACATGACCCAATAAAAATATTGGCTCATTCCAGAAAAAATGATTTTGAATTTATTAGAAAATCCACTGTCTTGCTGACTCTCCTCCCCAGCTGCAGAAAAACAACAAGCTTAGCTCAGTAACAAGAATGCATGACTATCTATCTCTTTAATAAAAGAGAGTCCAATTAAAAGGTCAGAGGGCAATTGAAAATCAAGACTCACATGGACTTTAAGTCAAATAACCTTAAGGTGTAGTTGGAGAGCATTTTCCTTAACCATGCCTCCTTCTCTTCTTGTAGTAAAGCATAAAATACAGGCTTTCTAAACATTGAATCAAAATATTACATATTTTAACATTATAAAATTGTTAACGTTTATTTTTAAAGATAGTAATAGAGCAAAAAGATATGAGATGTAAATATATATTCTCTTGACATATCCAGTCATTCACTAGTTGAACAAATATTTATTGCCATCTTACTCTATGGTACGCATTGTTCTAGATACCTGGGTAAGATCCCTAAACAAAAGTGCTGTATTGTCTGCCATCTACGGACTTACAGTATTGTGAGAGAGACAGACAATGAACAACAAAATTCTGCTGTATTCACTAAATGTTAATCTTATTTTGACGCTATGCCAGGTTTTTTTTTTAACCTCTCTGAATCTATTTATTCACTAAATCATTTACATAAGGCTTTTAAAAGTCAAATTGGTGTGTGATGTGTACGCATGTATGGGTGGTGGGGTGGATAACAAAAGCACAGCAATTTTCCTACATTCAGATTTTAACTAATTTATAATATATAAATAAGAAAACTTAGGAATAAAATTCCAACAGGTATTTCTGACTCTAAAGTCATCCTATTACTGTTATCCTGCAATACCTCTAAGACATAATGCTGCTGAAATAAATGAATAAAAATGAAATTACTTTTTTCCTAATAACTTATTTTTTTCTTTTGTGAATTCTCTGTATTCTGATAGAATTCAATGACTTTTCCTTTCCTTTCCTTGTTCTTCCTTCCTTCCTTCCTTCCTTGTTTCCTTCTTTTCTTCCTTTCTTCCTTCCTCCTTTTCTTCCTTCCTCCTTGTCTTTCTCCCGTTTCCCTTCCTTTCTTTCATTTCTTTCTCCCACTTTTTAACTAATAAAATATAAACAAAAGGAAGATTTAAGGTCACTGAGAATGCTTAGTTTAAAATATTAGACACAGATTTTTCTGTTGATTGTTGATTTTTGTTTTCTTGACCCTTCAGCCACTTTTCTTTTATAGGAAAAGAAGCTGAACAGGTTGCTTTTTGTTTGTTTGTTTTATTTTATTTTTTGAGACAGTATCTTACTCTGTCACTCAGGCTGGAGTGCTGTGGTGCAATGACAGCTAACTGCAATCTCTGGACTCAAGCAATCTTCCCACCTCAGCCTCCTGAGCAGCTGGGACCACAGGTGCATACCATCACAGGCAGCTAATTTATTTATTTATTTATTTATTTATTTATTCATTCATTCATTTATAGAGATGGGAACTCACTGTGTTGCTCAGGCTGGTCTCAAACTCCTGGGCTCAAGCAATCCTCCCACTTCAGCCACCCAAATTGCTGGGATTACAGGAATGAGCTACTGTGCCTGGCCATGTTTTTTGCTTTTTTCCTATTATTATCCTTCCTCTTAAAAAAAAAATTATCAGGGACTCCATTTACTTCCAGAATAAAGCTCTTACCTAGAATTATTGGACTTAAGATTCTTGAACAACTGGGCTCTAACTTATACTTATTTTAACATTAACAAAAACACATTTTCTACCTTGCAATAAGAACTGTAATTCCATTGATCTTAGAGATTGAACGTGGTGTGAAAGTTCATCTATCATTGTCCTTTCTCCACCTTATTTACTTTTTATAAAATGGCAATTCTTCCTTCTCACCTTATTTTCAGGATTGCAGTACCGCTCTCTCTTCCTGTGTTGTCAGAGTGACTTGCTATCCAGTCTAAGTCTGCAGAGAACTTAGAGTCTTTTGCTATGCTGTATATACTTGTCTGAGATAACAGATTCCAGTACTTAAGAGAAGGGGATTACAAAAAAATAAATCTGTAAGAAAGGCAACTATTTCCTGAGGTCACACACACACGCACACACATTCTTCAGACCTAAAACAGTGTTTCTGTGGGACTGCTTCTTCCCCAACTCCATGCACAGCTGGGAGGTATAAACAGTTAATGCAAAGAAAAAATAATTGCTTTTCTTATGTTTAACTTTATTACTGAGCCCATTGAACTTTCTTTACTGAAAACCTATCTTATAATAAATAATCCTGTCAGCACAAAATAAGCCAATTATAAATACAACAATTTTCATATGTAATACAACAACCTTTAATAATTTTTCAGTTTTTGGTTGTTTCTGTTCCCTAGATATTTACTAAACTTATGTATATAGCTTTAACCTGCAAATTAGAGGTCAGAAACTCCCACTCAGTTTTCTAAAAATATCTCTGTATCTCCATAATATCATTTCATTAAAATTGTTATATCCTGAGACTGAAAGCTTCCTATTTCTCTTGCCTCTTTTTTGTCTTGCTTATACTTGCCAGCTACATTCTCAATTACTATGCCACTCTGCATTTCTTTTATATCATTAGAAAACAATGAAAAAGAGAAATGAAAATCTGCAGGTTGAGTGAGCTGCCATCTTTTCCAATTTATATGGCTATTTTGTATTGGCAATGTAAAGTTTCTTTAATATAGTTAATCTTCAAAAAGTGTCTTTTTTACATAAAGTATAGACAGACACTGGTCCAATTTACTACTCCAACTTCACCATCGATAAGACAAGGATTCCAGTGAATTTTAGTTTTACATAAAGTATATCAAGGCAATAACCCAAATTGCCATTTCCACCTTTTCCAAACTCAGTTCTTTCCATGTGACCCCTTGGCCACTTCTACCTCTATGGCTCCACATATATGGTTCTCTTCTATCTTGAATATCCTGATAATACCTTGTTTCTTGTGCAAGCAGAAAATCCAGTTTTTCCTTAGGGAACAGTGCCATTGTAGAGGCTTTCTTAACTCCCAGGACCTACACTTCTACAGACAGAAATAGAGATGGCTGCATCTGAAACGCCATGGTGGCACATTTTCTCTCAAGGTGACACATACCACAATGGACTGAATAACAATCATTCTAAACCTCTCAACTCATTAGATCATTATATTCCTAGATAAATTAGTTCTATTTATGTTCCCAAGGCCTAGCAGAGAACTACACAAATGGTGCACCTACAGTGAATTTCGGCCCCATGTTTTGGAATGTTGCCCCGTTTCTCCAATCACACCTCAGATGAAAATTTCATTGACAGCAACAGTAACAAACCCTGGAGACTGGGGAAGGGAATCTAATTCTTAGATTTACCGCATCATATTAATGACAATGTCCAATATTTAACAAAAAATATAAAACATGAAATAAAATAGTATAGTGTCCCCCGACACACACAAAGTCAGCCAATACACACTGTTCCTGAGGAAGCCCACACTGTACTTACTAGACAGACTTTAAATAAGTTATTATAAATATGTTTTAAAAATAACTAAAGAAAACTGTCTAAGAATTAAAATATAAGAACAATGTATTGCCAAACAGATAAGAAACAGAGAGAAATTACAAACCAAAAAGAAAAAATGGAAATTCTAGATTCATTAGGTACAATGACTGAAATGAAAAATTCACTACAGTGGCTCAATAGTAGTTATGAACTAGCAGAGAAAAGGATTGTGAACTTGAAGATAGGTTGGTAGATATTATGTAATACAAAGAATAGAAAAAAATGAAAAATAAATGAGTAGAGCATCAAACCATTAGAATAGCTTCAAAGACAACAATATATAAATGGTGGAAATCCCAAAAAGTGAAGAAAAGGAGAACACAACAGAAAAGATATTTAAAGAAATAATTTCTGAAAACTTGATGCATTTTATGAAAAACATTAATGTACATATCCAAGAGCTCCACAGACTTCAAGTGAGATAACTCAGAGATTCACACACAGATACCATTACTCTACTTTCAATAACATATACCACAGATACTAAGAAGTTAACAAAGATAAAAAAGACTTAAACAACACTATAAAACCTTTAGTCTTAACAGATAACTCACACAACACCACACTCAACAGGAGAATATACATTCTTCCCAAGTGAAGAAAGAATATTATCTAAGATACACTATAAGAAGCAAAATAAAGAAATTACAAGTGGTTGAATTAATATAAAAATGTTCTTTTACTAGAAAAAAATGAAATAGCAATATGAGAAAAAAATTGGGGAAATTCACAAATACATAGAAATTAAACAACACTCTCCTAAGTAATCAATGAGTAAAGGAGAAGTAAGATAAATTAGAAAACATTTTGAGATAAATGAACACAGAACACTACATACACAAATTTATGAAATACAGGTAAGGCAGCATTTAGAGGAAAAACAATATTCCTGATTTTAAATTTGGATTAGACAATGTTTTCTTACATATGACACTAAAACACAAGCAATAAAAGAAATCATAGATATATTGGATTCCATCTATATTAAAAATATTATGCCCCAAAGGATAAACCTCAAAAAAAAGAAAAGACAACCAAACAAATAAGAAAAAAAAAAAACTTTGCAAGTCATATATCTGACAAAGGACTTGTATCAATATTTAACAAAACTCCTTCAACTCAATTACAAAATGATAAATAACCCAATAAAAAACAGGCAAACAATTTTAATAGATATTCCCCTAGAAAGATTTAAATAGCCAATAAACACATGAAGAAATGCTCATTATTAGTCTTTAGAGAAAACAACTCAAAACCACAAGACACACACTGAGATGACAAAGGTTGGTGAAGATGTGGAGAAGTGGAGTCTGTGTATGCCACTGGTGGGACTTAGCAATGACACATTCATTTCAGAAAACTAAAAATGTTAAACATGAGTTTCTTATCACTAAGCAATTGAACTCATAGGAATACACTCAAAATAATTTAAAACATACATCTACATCAATATTAATAGCGGAACTATTCATTGTAGCCCAAAAGTGGAAACAACCCAAATATCTATAAACTGATGAATGAATCAACACAATATAGCATATTCATGCAACCGAATATTTTTCAACCAAGAAATGGAATGAAGTATTGATACATGGTACAACACAGATACACTTTGAAAATATCATATTAAGTGGAAGAAGAAAGACAAAAAGACTATATATTGTATAAATTCATTTAACTGAAATGCCCAGAAAAAGAAAATCTGTAAAACATGGAAAGAATATTAATTTTTGCCAGAAGCTGTAGCGGGAAAGGGGAGGATGATGAATAATGACTGCTAAGGTGTATGGGTTTTTTTTTAATGGAGTCATGAAAGTGTTGTAAAATTAGACAGTAGTTATATACACCTCTTTGAGTTCAGTAAAAACCACTAAATTACATACTTTAAAAGTATATAATTTATACTATAATTCTATAGTATGTGAACCATATCTCAATAAAAATGTTATTTAAAAAATAACACAGCTTGAATTTCACATTTATTTGTTTAGTTATTTAATTAATTTATGACTTCTTCAAAATATTGAATCTCACAAGGACAGAAACATTTGTGTGTCCCCCTTCAACCAACAACATCATTATTGAATCCACTGTATCTAAAGTGATTCCTATCACTCGGTAGGCATTGAAGAAATGTTAAAAGAGTAGTTTTTTAAAAGTGTGGAATGAAATTTGTATATGGCAACACGATTGCATGCTAGACCAATCATATCCTCATAAGACCGGAATGTCCTTGGCCACCTTCAGGGGACAAAAATAGCTGTTTAATAATTTATTTTTATTAAATTCACTCCCATTTCCTGATCTGAAGTGAAAAGAATTCCCTTAGTTAACAGTCATGAGCCACACCATAGTATGCATGGTTTAAATAAGAACAAAATGCTAAAATAGATTTCTTTTCTAAACAAATCAGTCCTCTGTTTTTGCTTATTCCATTTTACTTAATAAGATAACCACTGCAGTTATGCAGGTGACAAAAATTAAGTCAAAGTTACAATCACTCACAAGCCATTTATCTAAGGACCTTGGGAAAATTAGTGCTTCTAGTATGTCCTGTAAAAGGTTTTACTCTGGAAGAGAGGCAAGTATATTTTGTAATATTATGGTTTATGTATCTTTTGACCAACAAGTGTAAAACCACTGGTTGACAAAGACATGCTGTGCTCTCACAATCTTCCTGATAATTGATAAATAAAGCTAGCCTGGGAATCACTCTCCAGTAATAGCAGTGATGTCTTAAGCTGCGTAGCCTTGCAGTTTATCCTGCATTCACTCTGACTGTGACTTCAGAATCTCTGTATCTTAAAATCCTAGCCTACTTTCAGAACAGTGTTTTGTTTCTTTTTTTGCCAAGGTTAAAAATGTGTACATTTCAAAATATCATCCAGTACTCAAAATATCAACTGTTTTTCCTTAATCATTGAAAATTTTAAGCAGAATAATAACTGACATCTTACACTAACTATGGCATAGCAGGTGCTTTGCATACTTTATAAACCACATTCTCAAAATACAGATGAATAAACTAAGACCTCAAATTGTTCAGATAATTAATCAGTGGGAGAGGGCTTAATCCCACAGTGGAAGGAATTGGATTCAGACATAGCTGAGTTTGCTTACTTATGTTCATTACACCATTGGTTCTCAACTGGGAATTAATAACTTTGCCCCAGGAAACATTTGACAATGTCTGGAGACATTTTTGGTTGATATTATGGGGTGGAGAGTACTACTGTCATTTAGTAGGTAAGGCTAGGAATGCTGCTAAACATCATCCAGGGCACAGGACAGCCCCCAACAACAAAGAATTATATGGCATGAATATCAATAATGCTGAGGTTGAGATATCCTGCATTACATCAATGGCTCCCGACTTTTAATGTATCTGAGAATCACCTGAGGAAGTTCATAAATACTGACATATTTTCTGAAGAGGTTTTGATTTAATTTATCTAATATGCAAGCAGGATATTGGAATTTTTTAAAGACTCTTATTGAATCCCAGTGAAGCCAAATTAGAGCACCATGATGGTAAACCTCATTGCCTCTATACAAGTTGAGGCTAAGACACTACTCATCAGTTGGGACATTTCTATAAAAACTTCCTTGAATTATGGGGATGGGGGTATAGTAGTGGTAAATGACCTTCTATTTCAATCCAACTGTTTTGCCAAAAATGAATTCAAAGACCAATTTGTTCATCAGCAGACTTCAGATGGTGATGGTCCATTGGGCCTAGACTAGAGAACATATCACTAAGAGTTGTTCACCAACTGTCTTAAGTCCTTAGCGGTAGAATTAGAAATTAATAAGCTTCTAGGAAATCTCTTAGGAGTCTGTATCTACAACATAGTTTTCAAACAATCATTATTTTGAAATTTTTGAGTCCAAATTCACAGATGTATTCTACTTTACAAATTCTCTGTGGAGTCTCTAAATCTACTGTCATTATTCTACTTCCTGCTTTGGGAGGATGATGTCTGCAAACTACACATACTGGGTTTCCTTGCCCTCTGTCTCCCTTGCTTCTTATCTACATTTTTGCTGGTGGTGGCATCCCAAGATGCTTTACTATCACATCTTGTAAATTGACTTTTCATTAAAGTTTCTTTGAACACCTCTTTGGAATGTACTAACATTTCCTTGATGACAAGGAAGCTAATGAAAACAAAGCTTCATAGAATAAAGTGCTTATTAGTATTATTATTACTTTACCTTTATAGCAGCTTTTTTAATAATTAAATTTTAAAATAAACACATATTTTATCATATGCAAGCCCAACAACACCATCAAGAAGCAGAAGTCCTTAGCCAAACCTTTTGCATCTAGATCATATTCAATGAATGTTAACACAAGTTAGATAATGGATTTTAGCTTGTCTAAGCCTCAGTTTTCTCCTGACAATTCATGATGAAAAAATTCAGACAAGGTTTTTCACCCTCAGAACTTGAATCCTAAACATTAAAACATACCAATCTACACAGTATTTTTAGTTTATTAGGCTTCTCTTATAGTAATTTTCTGGAGAGTCTATTTTGGGACCAGGAAGTGGGGTTAGAGGTTTTGAGGGTATAGGCACTTTATAAGTCACTGTCCAAAGAAAAAGATAATTTCAAAATATAGTAGTTTCAAAAAAGTTTATTTTTAATGGACTATGCAAAAATATGAAATATGCATTCTGACCTTAATCAACTCCCTATTCTGCTCTCCAACTGGGGGTCCCATGTCCTGTCACACCCAGAAGCACAAGGACAGAGAAAGCCACTGGTGTACTCACACATGCTACTCCTGGAATTAAGATAATAATAAGAAGGGTAGGAGACATACCTGGCGGGAAAAGGCAAAGCTGGTTGGCGCAGTAGTCATTTGCTACTGGCTACTCATTTATATATATTGCTTAGCTTATACAATGTTTTCACCTGAAATACTACATTAGGTCATTAAACTTTAGATAAGGTATCTTAAATATAGCATTTAGAAATTCTATAGAAGATGCATAAACCAATAGTTTATGTTTTGAAAAACAAATCCCAATCCCATGAAGTTACTGACCAATTAAATATCTCCCAAATATAAAATTAAGTTTGTATTTTTATTTCTTCCTTTCTTCATTTATTTATTTGTTTTTAACATTTTTCATTTAAAATTATTATGTATCTATTATAGCTGTATATATTTATGGGCTGTGTGTGGTATTTTGATATAAGCATACAATGTGAAATGATCAAATCAGGGTAATTAGGATATGAATCATCTCAAGCATTTACATTTTTGATTAGGGATTCCAATTCCACTCTTGTGGTTATTTTGAAATAAACGATACATTATTATTAACTATAGTTGCCAAATTGTGCAACAGAACACTAGATCTTATTCCTTCTAGCTAACTTTCTTCATTTCTATATCCAGCATTTATTTACTCCTTCATTAATTTAAGAAAAATTCACCAGCACATTTATTGAATAGCTACTATATGCTGACCCAGAGGGCTCAATTTTAATGGACATGATCTCTGCTATTTACAATATAATAGAAAACAATTAAGTCTGAAAAAAATGAAACATAGTTTATTGGGATATTTTTTGAAGTATGTTACATCGATGTTATTAAACTGTAAGTAAATACACTTTTGCTCAAATTTTTAATTTTTCTTATTATGAAATGATTACAGGATGTATGGTTTATCAACCAGAGTCTAGAACTCAAACTTCCTGATGTCAAGGCCATTGCTTTTTACAAACTAAGTTACTGACTCCGGAGAGTTTTGTTATTAAGAATTGATCATCCTTATGTGTAAATGATGTTTCATATTTGCTGCTTTTCCTCACTGTTTACAAACGAAGTTACTTACTCTGGAGAGTTTTGTTATTAAGAATTGATCATCCTTATGTGTAAATGAGGTTTTATATTTGCTCCTTTTCCTCCCTGTTTTATAAAATATCTCAGTCTTCACTTTTATCAAACATAAACCATATTTATTTATCTTAAGACCTGGAATATAATTTTAAGAGAAAAAGAATGACTAGAGGAAATTCTTTACATTCTGACAACAATTAGCCAAGCCATAGAATGCAGGTAGTTTAATATGAGCTTCTTAGATTTTGAATAATCATGTAACTCAAACTTAAAATTGTGAATTTATTCAACTATAAGTTATTTTTTAAAGTTCTGAACTCTGTAATTTGTTCTGATCCAATGATTCAATCTAAATAAATTGGAAGTATCTACAAACTGTACAGGTAGAGATTTCTTTTCTTTTTTCTTTTCTTTTTTTTTTTTTTAAGAATAAGACCATGTAATAAAGCTCCAAGAGTGGGAAACTCCATTATGTACTTTCTAAATAGGTAATTCTTCCATTATTGATGATGCTTTCATTTTAATTAATCACCTGGAGATAGGAACAAGGATTTCAGAGTCCCGTTTTGGATTTGGAAGTTGTTCTGGACATTACTGTTTAGACAGGAAGAGTGTTTTCCCACATAAGACATCAGAATCTTAATTCAGACAACAGGTTAAGCCACACGAAAATAAATAACTACATTAATAAGTACTCCAGAAGTCTTAAAGAGAAGCTCAATTGCTGGAAAGAACCTACTGAAACCAAGAGTGAGTATTCAGACAAAAGATGAGGATAATAAATCAAATTTCATATGGTGTCTCCCTTACTCTGTTCATGGAAAACATTATTCAACTCCTTAATGTGACCCACTAGATCATGCAAAAATTATTCTCAGAACAGCTTTTTCACTCTAACTCCTGCTCCTCTTCACTGAGGCTCTCCAGCCACACAGTCCTTCTCTTTGTTCCTGGAACAGGCAACGCTTATTGATGCCTCAAGGCTTTGAACTGACTGCGTCCTCTTTCTGGAGCGCTCTACCTCACAAGGAAGGCTCCTCATCTCCATTCACATTTCAGTTCATACACCAGCTCATCAAAGGTCTCTTTGTCATTATTCTATTGTATTTCTTCTCTTGATCTGTCTGATATTTTATCTGAAATCCTGTCATGTATCGGCTCATTTATCTATCCCTGTCTTTGCAGCTAGAATTAAGCATCAGGAGAATTGGATCTATGATTGATTCATCATTGTTATCCTGGTGCCAAAAGTAGAGCATGGCTCAAGGCATGTACTCAATAAATATTTCTTGAAATCCTGGTTTATGAGAGGCAGTCTCATAGAGTGATCAGCACTGTAAGGTCTGGAGCTTTGTCTCCACACTCAAAATCTTGTTCTGCTACTTCCTAAATATGTAGCCTTGGATGGATGTCTCAGTCTCTTCACCTCTAAAATTGAAATAATAATACCTACCTTATAAGTTGTTTGGAGAATTAAACAGGTTTATATTTGCAAAGTGTTTAAGATCATGCCAGACATATATCATGAAGGAAAATACTTAAACATACATGCATATAAGACAACATATGTAACATAACATAGTCCATGCCAGGCAAGTGTTAGACAGCTAACACTAACACTGTTGTAAAACACCTGTATGCGAGTGGATGTATGTGTGTGTGTGTCACACCCATAATTTCTGTGAGTAGTTTTAGAGTCTTTCTCAAAAGAGCTGTGCCTACTACCACTTAACGACGATTCTGCATCACCACCTGAGATGAAACTTCTTTGCCATTACTCCTCTGAAGAGCTACCTGTTCACACGTGTGTGCATGTGTGTGTGTTGTTTTGATACTAATTTTAAAGATAGTTTATTTGATTTCTTAAATAGTTGTCAATTAAGAAAATCATGGATATTTCAGAGAAAACGTGACCCAGAAACTAAGGCCATAGGTAGGAAGAGCCTTAATACTTTTAAAGCTTCAGAGAGGGCAGTTTAGTCTCTAACCACTTTCTGAGCCCCCCACCTCTCCCCTCCAGGCCTCCCTCACTTCCCTGCCTCACCCATTGCAAGCACTGCCTCTCTGGACCCAGTTCCAGTGTTCTTGATTTCCGCCCCTACTGTCATTCCCCATATTGTAGACATTATGTCGGCATGCTTAGCTGCCAGAGTTGGTTTCCTGTAATTCTGTTGTTCAAACTCCCAACTGGGGGGTTTAGATAAGTAGAAAATATAAAAGAACAATTTGTAAACACTTGTTTCTATAGTTCTCAACACAATGTGGAGGAACAAAGGGGAGTCAGAAGTCCCTGATCTAATCCTTAGAATTGTAAAGAAGTCAGGACTATTTTGAGGCATTTGATTTTGTGGAAATGGCATCTGTGCTCCACATGACTGAGGTTTGGGTTTTCCTATGTTATTTGTTTTAGCATTTTCCTCATTTAATAACACACAAAGTAAGTGATAGAAATAAAATTATTTTATATTTGTTTTCAATATTTTCCTTAAATATATAACATGAAACTTCATTTGACTTGTAGGAAGATGCTAAAAAAAAATCAGCGAAGAAGTATCGTGAAAAAAGCCTCAGGCATGGATATATGACATGGAATAAATGTTTTATTTTTATCATTTTTTTTACACAGAATGCTATATGTTTAGCACCTTGTATTACTACTCTGCTTACTGTTTGGGAGATTTTTTAAAATGTAAGAAAACACTGAGATAGAAAAGTGTCATCAAAAAGACTATCTTGGTGGTTAAATAGTAGGAGGGGAGCATTATTGGGAATATCAGTTTGGAAGCCATGAAGAGAAAATCTCCAGTGTGAACTGAAGGTTCTCTCTCTTCTAAGAGGGGAAGAGAGAGGTTGGGTTTTATGCCTCAAAGCGCTGGCTGGTGTTACACATATTCAGCAGGTTTTCAGAAAAAGCTATGCATATTTAGGAGGGGAGCCAAGTGCATGCGCATTGGGTAAACATATATAACATATATCCCATGTTCACTTTGTGATGGAGATTTAACATTAAAATGGGGTGCCATTTGGCTCATTAAGTCAATAATGAAATATAGGACATAAAGACATTTTCAGTGCAGCTGCTGACTGCAATTGGCTTAAAATCTAGTCTGTAATAGCTTATCAGAAAAGATTGTTTATAAGGGGGACAGGTGGGATGGCTCACAGACGGATCACTTGAGCTCAGGAGGACAAGGCTGCGGTAAGCTACGATCATGCCACACTGCACTGCAGCCGGAGCAATAAAGTGAGTCTCTGTCCCAGAAAAGGGAGAGCAGAGGAGAGGAGAGGAAGAGAGGGGAGATAAGGAAAAGGGAGGACAGAGGAGAGGAGAAGTTTGTAAGGGCTGGGCCCCTATAAAATCAAGAGTTGTAGTGGTCTGGGTTGCAAATCAGCCTGCTAACTCCTATTGTTAGGGAGTTTAGCAAGGGTGTGGTTTTTCTTACAGTGGCAGGAATTTGAAAATTTGTCATGCCAGCCGGTTCCTGAATCCTCAACCTGTAGGTAACTTTTATTTCCTTAACCTTAGGGTTGCTCTTAATTGATAAAAGGGAATCTATTTTGGTCTGTTAGATCACTAAGAAAAAGATGAAATAGAGGTGCTTACAGTAACCTGAGACTGGGAGAAACTGGCTTCAAATTTCCACATTGCAGTAAAATAGCATGTTGTCAAAGGAAGCCCATGCTTGTACCTTGGTTGCTGTTCGGAGAGTTGGATCTGGAAATGAAAGAACCCAGCTAGAAAGGGACAATTTTGAAATCCTGCCACTGTAACTTGTCAGAGGAAGTGAATTTTCCATATGGGGTTCTGTATTATTATAGGCAATGTAATTCCCCTTTTTGAGCCTCAGACACTTGACTTAAAAATAGTGGGTTTGGACAAAATATATGTAAGATAATCTTTT
Organism: Homo sapiens; assembly: GCF_000001405.40. Classification (NCBI taxonomy): domain Eukaryota; kingdom Metazoa; phylum Chordata; class Mammalia; order Primates; family Hominidae; genus Homo; species Homo sapiens. The sequence continues at coordinate 61,616,902 of NC_000016.10, read as the reverse complement.
AGGTCTAACAGTTTCTGTCTACTAAAATCTGTCTCCCAACCCATTCAATTTTATTTTCAACAAATTTTTCAAATTTGTTAACTTTCTACCTAATCTAAGGCATAAAAATACTTTTTGAGGCCTTAATGCTTAGAGACATATATAAGTGAATGGACACAGTGCTATTACAAAGGAGAGAAGATAAAATATATTGAGAAAAATAACATAGGGATGGCTAATTCTCAGAGTTTTACATGAGTTGTTTTCTTCTAGGAAAACACTATAAATCAACCGCGTGGTGAGAGTATGTAATTTACTTTTTGGAGCTATTTTGTGAGCATGGTAAAATAAATTAGCATAGGATTGTAGAAGATGAAAGGGAAAAAGTGATGAACAACAGAAGATGTAGTATTGTCTTGAGAACTAATTAAGTTAACTTTTCTACTGAAGGGACCGTACAGCTGAGGGCCTTAGCAATAATGCTTCTCCCATCAGGGTAACAGTTCTAATAAGATACATGCTGCTGATAAACAAAATCAGTTCTAGCAAGTCAGTCTTTCAGGGTTTGCAGAAACTAAATGATGGACAAAATTTAATCTCTTAAACCACTGCTTGTCACCAATTTATATGCTGATCTTGCACAAAAATAAAAATAAAGAAAAAGTAAATTCCATCTTAAACTTGAGATTTCATTCCTTCCAAATCATTCGTAAGGGAACAAACTTTGAGTGATGTCCACACTGTGGGAAGTGTTTAGTTATGTTCACTCTAGCTCATAAGAAGCTGAGGATATTGTTCATTTTCCAGAGCTCATTTTACAATCTAAAAAAGAAGGTAGATGGTAAATGAATTGAGTGGAAAACGACTTGTCTGTCGCGTTAGAGACTGGTACTTGTTCAGTGGGTTGGTTATTTTATCACCCACATACATTTCCATCCTTTCTGCCTTACTGAGGACCCTGGAGGGCTGGTATCTGTGGGTTGCATTATCCAGACTCCTTTGGACACCAGTTGAGTTTGGATCAATGGGAGCCAACAGCCAGAGCCTGGAGAGCCAGAGGAAAGAGAAGTCAGGGTATTCCTTTCTCATCTCTCTCTCTGCATAGCTCCGGTTTTGGCAAGGATTGCATCCCTTTACCTGGTGCTACAGTTCCTATTTTAAGTAGCTTCTCTTTGCAAGGTTCCATATCTTGCCTAGCTCTATAACTTTATTTTATTTCCTTTTCCCTTTAGGTCTAAGGATGAGAAAAGCATCCTGCTGCTGCCACAAGTTAGATGTATCCATTGTTGGTTTCCTTAAATTGGCTCATACCTTTGCAAACAGCCTTTCATTAAATTCTCATTAATTAAAACATCCTTGTTGTTCTATTCATTTCCTGCAGGAACCCTGACTGATATGATTAGCAAAACTAAAAACATGGTAGGCTGAGGATCAAAATGAGTATTCAAAAATTAAAGAACAATCTTAATTTAAATATATAAATATCCACTCATCAGTCTTTTGATATAAGGAAAATGCATTTTTTTGGAATATGTGCCTATTGATTAGAATTCAAACTTGCCTTTATTACACGATTCTCACACATAATGCATTACACATAATTCAATTTTTGATTTCAGCTTCATCAAAGCGGGATGAAAACTTACACTTGTAAAATAAGTATATCATCCATCTGGAATTTATCTCACTTTTTTATATTGCTTCATGCTCACCCAAAGTAGGAACAGTTTTTTGCAATGTTCTTCATTGCTTCTTTATAAAATATTCCATTTTGTTTTCAAAAATGCATCAATTCTTTCTTTCTGTGCTCTGATAAAATATTACAGAAACACAATAAAATACAATAAATATTTGTAGTAAAAAATACAAATGTAATAAGGAATTTTGGAAACAAATGCAACTTATTTGAATAAAAAAGCACTGTAAGTAGCAGCAGGAAAATGTCAAGATATCATAGTCTATTGTCTGTTCGTCTATGCCTTTTTCCCCAGAAAATGTACATTGTTGATTAAACTAATATTTCGGTTAAGTAGAAGAGGATTATTGGAGTTTTATTTTTTAATATGAAAACAAAATTACTAAAGATATGAAAGCATTAAAAGCATGCATCTAAAAGCTTCAGAGAGGGGAGGTTAGAAAGTATTCCCCAAAGTAATATAGAAGTCAGTACCTGAAGTATGATTAGGATTTAGCTAGGAGAAGAAGGAAGAAGATTATTCCCCCAGAAAGAATACTATGAGGAAGACATTGATATTCAAAGAGAACATCAAATGTGTAGCAAGAGAGTAACTTCAATTGAGATGTTAAGCCAGGCTCTCTAGGTGATATTGTCTAACCTGGCCAGGGTTTTACCTGTAAAATTTGATATTAATATCCCCTTCATGGGAATGAGTGAGGGTTGAATGAAATGGCTCATGTAAGAAGTTCTCACTAGTGGTTGTTCTTCTCAGGGAGATTAATCTACTCCCGCTAATATCAAAGAGAATGGGTTTGTCTCACATTGCTATAAAAGTCCTGAAAAGACACACTGTACCTATCACTAGAGTACAAACAGCCCCAGTTTAAAATGTTGAAAATTCCAACTTCGTGACAAGGGAGCAGCTATTCACTTTGTCGTTATTAAATTTGTCATGAATGATTTATTTAAAATGTGAAAAAAACACCATAATGTGCTACAGATCCATGGAGAATTAAGATTATCCTTATAATAATGATTATAATAATTGCCAATATAATGCCTATTACTTCTCAGAACTGCTTCAGTTGTTCATAGATAGATCTGTCATAGGTATATAGAAGAATTACATTGTTCAGCATGACTTGGGGGTGGCCTCTGCCCAAATCTGCTCCAGGATCATTGAACCAGGAGCTAAAAACCTAATATTCAACCACTCTGGATTTCATTTCTTCACTGTCATTTTCCTCACTGGCCTCTCCTCCTCCTCCACTTTAATTCTCTAGGTGTGAGAAAGGCAAGACCTTACTTGTGACATCGGGCAGAGGAAAATCTAACAGGCTTGAGAACTGAAAATTTGTTTTGTTTTGTTCCGAATTTTAAGATAATGTACTGTGGTTAATCTTTCACTTCTGAAAAACTTTGCTTTGCAAAGGCCTATAAATTATTCTGAAAAAAAAAAGGTCATATAAATCCTGTGCTCCTTTTCTTTGCAACATTACAATGTGATTGTGAGACTTGGATGCTGATTTCAAATTATTTGAGGTGAAGCTGAAGTCACAAGTTCCAGGTGTAATGTACTATTGGATGTCCTGTATGGATGTAGGGGAAAGAATGAAAAGGTTATCGCCACATCCTACCCTTGTCCAAAGAGAAGGATCTAACTTATCTTTTTGGATCAGAATTCCAAGAGACTGAAATGTCACTGTAGGTAAGAGGTATTTCTTAGATATGCATACTGGAGAGCTTAAAGGTACACTTATTTGCTGTCCTGGATATTCAACAACATAATTGTATAGGACTTGGCACATGAAATACTAGTGGCCTTATTTGGATAACTATTAAAACTGGGTCATAAGTACCCTAAGATTCACTATAATATTCTTTCTGCTTTTCGTAAGTTCACTATTTGTCATAATACTTTTGTTTTCGTTTTTGTTTTAATTTTTTTTTTTTTCTTTTGCTTATTTGTTTTGTTTGAAGTTCATCCAGTGTGGCTTTGCCTAGTGCTATCTCTTACCATGGACTCTCTCTCAGATCAGGCACAGCCATCAAATATTTAACTTATTTCTTATTATTTCTTATTTTCTTATTTCTTATCTTCTTTAATGTATAACTCCCTTTTCTCTCCCTCTAGCCTGTGCACTGGCTGTGCAGTGGTCTCAAGTTCTAGAGACATGATTAGGTTAAACTTTAGATTTAGGGAAATGGTTGCTATGGACTGAATGTCTGTGCTCCCTGCAAATTTATATATTGAAATTCTAATCCCCAATGTGATGGTATTTGGAGAAGAGTCCTTTCAGAGACAATTAGGACATGAGGTAAAACCCTGATAATGGGATTAGTGGCCTTATGAAAGAAGACATGAGAAAGCCTACTCTCTCTCTCTCTCTGTTATGTGAGAATACAGAGAAAAGACAGCTAGCTATAAACTAGGAAGAGGACCCTCTTCAAGAACCTGACCATGTTGGCATCCTGATCTCAGACCTCCAGCCTCTAGACTGTAAGAAATAAATGTTTGTTGTTTAAGCCACTCATTCTATAGTATTCTGTTATAGTCACCCAAACTAAGGCAATGGTAATTCACCTTCTACCTCATGTACAAAGCACATCCCCCTTCCTCATTTTCCAGAGTTCTGCAATCAGTATTTTCTCATATAATAAGAAGAAAGTGACACAGGGTTTCCCACTGAGCATGTCTTCATGATATCTCTCCCTGGGAGATCAAGAGAGGGAAAGGGTGACTGGATTAAGGCAAATTCTATCCACTGGGCCCTTAGTCTGACAGAAACGCAATAGCACTAAACTATACTATACACCCTAAAATAGCCTAAAAACGTAACTTAAAGGGGTCTTCCATGTGCTATGTATCTTGATAAGGAGTCCCACACAGGCAATCCAGCTACCAAATTGAACATTATTGTGATATTCTTTAAATAGCCTCATATTAAATTAATTTCTGAATTTTGCTAATTTCTTTTCTTTTCCCCTTCCCTTCCCCCCTTCCCCCCTTCCCCCCTTTCCTCTTCCCCCATCCTGCCTTCCCCTTCCCCCATCCCCCCTTCCCCCTTTTCCCTTCCTTCCCCTCCACTCCCCTCACCTCCCCTTCCCCTCCCCCTCCCTTCCTTTCCCTTCCTTTCCCTTCCCTTTCCTTCCCTTTCCTTTCCTCTCCCCTCCTTTTTTTTTTCTTTACTCCCTGAACCACAGGGTTTCTCTCTATTGCCCAGCCTGAGTGCGGTGCTGTGATCATAGCTCACTGCAGCCTTGAACCTCTTGGCTCAAGTGATCCTCTCGCTTCAGCTTCCTGAGTAGCTGGGACTAAATTTTTTTAATTTTTATTTTTAGTAGAGATGGAGTTTTGCTATGTTGCCCAGGCTGATCTCAAACTCCTGAACTCAAGAGATATTTTTCACCTCAGCCGCCTAAAGCACTGGGATTACAGGTGTGAGCCACCATACTCGGCCTAATTTTTCTTCAACGTATGTGAGAAATATTGTCCCCCCTCATGCTTATTTTTTTTCATGCTTATTTTAATTCAAAACTAATTATCTCTAGTATGGACTGTTTTGAGGGCACACTTAGTGCACTCTGCCTCCAGTCAATTAACAGGGCACCCATTCTCCAAATTGCTTGAAATAAGTAGTCGTTCTATAATGCAAACCCGTGCTTTTATCATTATTCTATTTAAATTTCTGAAAACCTCTCCTCTCCTACTTCTTCAAGAAAATTACAAAATTACCTGTGACAGTAAACATGGTCCCACCTACTGGGCCAGTTTACCTGTGCTCCAGCCACAGACAAACTTTACCTGAACCTCAAACATACCTTCCTAGCATACCTCTCCACTTAAACACACCCTTTCCTTCTTTATATTACTGTGAATACCCGCAACAATTATATTTGTACCTTTGATTTTGCATCATCTCAAGTCTTTTTTGCATATCTACTCTTTCTTATTTTCTCTTAAGAACTAAGTGTATGTTGAAATTATTTGAACTTCAATAAGACTAGAAAGTCCTTTATGTACTGGGAAGAGATTATGTATTTGTGTGTGTGTGTGTGTGTGTATGCATGTGTGTTTTGGGGGTGTGTGTGTGTGAGAGAGAGAAAAAGAGAGAGAGAGAGGTTTGGAACATTAGTCTTTTCATGGCCAAAATAACTCTATGGATTCTTCACCAAGATTTTGGAAAATCAGGCTATGAACAACAACTCCACTCCCCGCCACCCAAGATAAAGTTCAAACTCTTTAGCGTGGAATGCAAACTGTCAGGCCCAGCACCTAAGTTCCCCTCTAGCCTTAACTCCAGTCACAGCTTGTCCTTCTAATTCAAACTTCAGTAACAACGAACCCCACATGGTTCCCGTTCACACCGTTACATCCTATGCTTCCCCTTTCCCCATTTCCTCGGCCCTTTCTTCATTTACCTAACTAGCTAATGTCCACTCATCTTTTCTTTTTTTTTTCTTTGAGATGGAGTCTAACTTTGCTCTGTCACCCAGGCTGGGTGGCGCCATCTCAGCTTACTGCAGCATCTGCCTCCTGGGTTCAAGCAATTCTCCTGTCTCAGCCTCCCAAGTAGCTGAGACTACAGGATCATGCCACCAAGCCTGACTAATTTTTGTATTTTTAGTAGAGATGGGTCTCACCATATTGGCCAGGCTGGTCTCGAACTCCTGACTTCAGGTGATCCACCCACCTCGGCCTCCCAAAGTGCTGGGATTATAGGTGTGAGCTGCCACGCCTGGCCCACTCATCTTTTTAAACTCAGCTTACTCATCACCAGTTTTTAAAGCCTCCCGAGTATCATTGTTCATGCAGTTTCCTCTTGCAGAGATATCATCCATACCTTACTTACTGCTTAACAGTTACTAAATTTTGGAGCTGGGGCTTAGATTAGAAGTGGGTATGAAATCATCTTTGGCTATGGTGACAGTAAACTACTTGCCCATCCTATTAGTGTTCATAGTCACAGGACATATCATACAATATCACTTGACAGATTTTCTTAAAATTATTTTTGTATACTTTCGTTTATTTTTTTCTAGAATGTATTTTCCTCAAGGAGAGAGCTTATGTCTAAGTCAGCATGGTGCCATTCTCTCTGCTATATAATAGGTAAACTATTATTATATATGAAATGGATATAAGAAAAATCCTATTCTGTGTGTCACTGATAGTTAGACATTCATATATGTATATATAACCCGATCATTGGTTGCTGTTTTACTTTCTAACCCCTGACCCTACCCTCTGTTAATGGGATGACAAATGAATGAAAGAGAGCTTTATTAAGAAAACTGCTTGGGAGAGTGGTGGGTTAAAAAACAACCTATCAGGTACTATGCTCACTACCAGGGTGATGGGACTCATAATCCAATCATTAGCATCACACAATATTTCCATGTAACAAAATCATGTACTCCCTGTATCTAATATAAAAGTTGAAATTAAAAAAGAAAAAAATACCCTCAAATTGAGTCATGAAGAGAGTGGCCAGGACAAGGAATATTAGTCCCTCATGAAACTGTTGTAAATGACCTCGGGAAGTAACATTTAGGTGAAGGATTCATTACCTGAAGTGATAAAATATCCATAGATAAATATGAGGCAGAAATTGGAACAGGCTTGGGGCTTGGAAATAAGGGGATGAATGAGAGCTAATGTTTATTGATGTTCTGCTATGGCCTTGATCTACTGCTTCATTCAACAGCAGTTTCCTAGTGAGCATCTATCTTGTGCCTGGCATGGAGATAGGAAGTAGGGTTTCAAAAGTCAACAAAATGCATCCAGTCAAGATTTTGCCATCACAGAGCTTAATGACCAATGAGAATATAAATAATTATTCATCAGTGCACCAATCTCTGCTAAATATTTTGAGAGAGGAAATGATGGGGACATGGCAGACTGTACAGAAACTGAAGTTAGTTATGTCTTATTGGATCCATTTCACTGGCCTATGGGGACTGGCATCAGAGCTAAAAATGAAAATGCAATAGAAACTATGAAGTTGTATTTGTGGACACATAATGTTTTGAGCTGACATTCGTGCTTGCTAACATATAAAAGGAAAGAAAACTAGATTTGAAGACAATATGATAAATACGTGACTTAGTTCTTCCACTTCACTATTTTGCAACCTTGAATAAATCACATCACCTCCCTGAACTTGAGTTTCCCTGGCTGCCAAATGTAACCACTAATACCGGACCTGGCAGACTCTCAGGACTATGAGAGGCTCAATTAGGATAATAAAGGGAAAAAGACTTTGAAAACCAAGAAAACCCATGTGAACTTTGTTAGGAGTATCATTGCCATGTGAACCAGCCCAGGAAGTCTGGAACAGAGCAGGTTTGGTCTTAGTATAAACCTGTATGTCTAGACAGATGAATGGTTCTGGTCTGTAAATTTTCAAAAGCTCCACGTATTTCTACACCAAAGTTTTTCCCTCTTGTTAGGGTTTGATCTCTTCCCTGAAAGGATGAGTTTTAACAGGGGGAAAAAAGAAAAACACATTAGTGTTAAACTTTGTCTGGGACTCTCATCATGAAATTTCCATAAGCAATCATGAAACAGACACTGGAACAAACTGAGGTCTGTTTTGAGGTCAGTAGTAGACATTATTAGTGCTCTGTTCATGGTTCCTCTGTTCCTTCTTACCTGATCTGTGTGCCTGTTGGCAATCTGTGTGTCTTCTATTTTGTACCTACAAACTTCTTATCTGACTGTCATTGGCTACTGAAGCGGTTTCTGAATGCATGCACAGAAATTAGAATTGTTTCGCTGTTTACAATCCCCCTTCCTCGAATCAGAGACAGCTCAAATCCAGTAGGAGGTTGGTTCAAGACTATAAAAGCCCGGCTTTCTCTCAGAGAGTTTAGGTGAATTTTAATATGTAATCTATACTTCAGAGCTAACTGAGGTATTAGGCTGAGGCTGAGACTCTGCCTAAAATTGCATCCTTACTTGGCTGCTTCTTTTTTTTTCTCCTGTCTTCCCTGCTATTTTATCGATTTCTCTTTGGAGCACTGTCTTAATAAATGACTCATCTCAGGGTCTGCTTCTGGAGAATCTGATCCAAGGTAAAGCCCCTTAATTTTGAGAAAGTAAGATATATATACTCTAAGTAGTGAGTTAATGCCCCAGCATGGATTTGTCAAAGCCAATGGGGGAAAAATAACTAGGACGGAGATAGTTATTTTGGTGGCAATAGAGGCATTATCTCAAAAGTTTCCCCTTTCAAGGCAATATTGAAGTCTAGTGACACTAAATTTATTTAGTAGTAATTTAATAACCCCATGTGATATTTACTGTAGCAGGCACCAGGAACATATAAAACATGATTATTCAAACTACAAGAGGAGACATATTATTTGAAAATAGCATAAAACTGGAATTTTATATTGTACTTAAAAATTAGTACAAAGGGTTCCTATAATTTATAAACTGTGAAACTTTCATGTATTCAGCATCGATTGCTTTTTATTCATTATCTCATTTAATACTCATTATAACCCTGTAAAGCAATTATTGTCATTCTCATGTGAAGGTAAGGTGAATAATATTAAGGCAAAACAATAACTTACACAAAAATACACATAGAGTAAGTGACTAATTTATTGCAGCCTAAATCAAGTATTGTCCAAATCCCATGCTCATTGTGCTATGCCATGTTCTTTTTTAAGTAGAGCACAAGAAGAGAATCACTCAAAAACAAACAAGCAAATGACAACAGCCTTTTTTTCCAAGTGATTTAGTAAGCTATTGGGTAAGAAAATATTTATATTTTAGCTCAATTAAATTGGGTGGTGCAGGCTTCCAACATTTACATGTTCTTTACTTAAACATAGATATGTATAAGCCTTCCCATGTTCTGTTAGTATTTAGTAGCATTTAGTGTATGGAAATCTCATCGTTTTGCACCACTTGTATTTCCATAGCAAAGATCCTGGCAGAACTGACATATAGATGATAGGATCTGTGAATATAAGACATAGTTGCCACCCTTAGATTAAAAGAGTAAAATGATTGCTATTGTTACAGATAAAGATAGAACTAGTCCAAGTCCCGACTCTGACACCTACTAGTTATGTGATTTTATAAGAGTTAAACTTTGTAACCCTGAGATTTCATTATTGGTAAAATGGGGATGCTAAGACTTCTCAGGAGTTGTTATCAAAATTGTGAGACTATGTATGTTTCATTGTATATAAATACCACATTTTACTTATCCATTCATCTGTCCATAGACACTTGGGTTGCTTCCATTTTTTTTTTAATGTGAATAATAGGCATGGGTATACAAATATCTATTTAAGACCCTCCTTTCAATTATTTTGGGTATACACTCAGAGTGGAATTGCTGGATCATATGGCAATTTTATTTTTACTTTTTTAAAGAACAGACATACTTTTTTATAGCAGCTATAACATTTTACAGTCTTAAAAAGGAAAGAAAATCTGCCACATGCTACAACATGGATGAATCTTGAGGACATTATGCCACGTGAAATAAGCCAGTCACAAAAAGACAGAAACTATGTAATTCCACTTGTCTGAGGTACTTAGAGCAGTCAAAATCATAGAGCTAGAAAGTAGAATGGTGGTTGCCAGGGACTAAAGAAAAAGTGAATGGGGGCTTTTTGTTTGATGGGTGCAGAGTTTCACTTTTACAAGATGAAAAGAGTTCTGGAGATGGATGGTGGTGGCCGCACAACATCATGAATGTATTTAATACTGTGAATGGGACACTTTAACATGGCTATGGTTGTAAATTTCATGTTTTGTGTATTTGGCCACAATAAAAAATTGGGGGGAAAACTTCAAACTACAACAAAACGAAACAAAGCAAGTTGCAGAGTTAGACTGTCTGAGTTGAAATCCTAGCTTGATCTCCCCACCAACTCCAAAAAAAAGGCAGAGAGAGAGGCAGAATATATTTGTAGGACAATACTTGATAATATATATGGTGATGTATGCTCATTACTCATTTGTTTTCCTCAGAAATGGGTATTAAATCATAGGGTCAAATAAAATGTCTTAGGAAGTAAACAAAGCCATGGGGAGGTTTGGGACAGGGAAAGGTCACTACTACTGAAATTATTACTCCTTTTAAAAGGCAAGTTTTATGTAAGATATGGCTTCAAAGAATAGATAGACACTCCCTCTCTGTATGGTAATTGTCGGCTTCTTCTAATACATAAGGCAGTTTTCACCCAGAAAGTATGCAAAACAAGCTGGCCATTCTGGTTGGGGAGAGTTTGCTCATGTTTTGAAGCCATTATACTTGGAATCTATACAGATACTTAGGATTTATAATTACATTCACAAAAACAAAACTTAAGTTTCTTTAGACTTATTTTTCAGAGATTTAAATTTTTAATAGTTATTTTAGAGAAATGAAATTTAATGCTCAGGAAGAAAAAAAATCTCTGCTTCTTTGATTGTCCACTGAACAAAGGCCAAATGCAACAAAGAGGCAAAGGACATTCTTTCAACTCCCTTGAAGTGAAAGCCTTTTGTGCATTTTCTGGATTCATTTGAAAAAAACAAAAACAAAACCAAAAAGGAAATCAAGACAAGGGATGAACAGAGCTTGTTTACTCCGATGCCTGTGATGTCCGGTGCTATTTCTTACTTAATAATCCATATAGAGAAGCCGTTGCTCTTTGTTCTCATCTTCTTCCCGCCAAAGAGCCTCAGACCATGTCCTAAGAAGATTATGAGACTTTGTCTTTGATTCATTTAAAAGCCGTAATTGGGCAACTTCAAACCCCATTTAAAATCTTTCTGTGGTACTTGAAGGCCCACTTCCGACAAAGGTTTCTGTTAACTCTTTCCTAAGAGTAAGTCCAGTCATCACAACCCAGTGATGGGCTGTATACATTTGGATGTCTAGAAAAACCCTGCAGTAGGAACCCACTACATTTCTGAAACTCACATTCATAATGTAATTTGCAAAATAACACTAAGAATGAGTCAGAGCAGACATTTATCTGATCCCTGTGATTTTGTTTTTTATTCATATTGTTCTTTATTAGTGCATTCTTTTTTAACTACTAGACTTTATTTTTTAAAGCAGTTTTAGATTTACAGAAGTACAGTTCCGTATACCCCTCACTCCCCTCTGCCTCACCTACAGTTTATCCTGTTGGCATTCTACCTTAGTGTGGCATGTTTGTTACAATTGATGAGCCAATGTTGATACATTATTATTAACTAAAATCTGTCCTTTATGGTAAAGTGAATCTTTGTGTTGTATATACTAGAGCTTTTGACAAATGTGTAATGACATTTATCCACCATTACAGCATAGTCTCACTGCCCCAAAAATGCCGGTTCATCTCTCCCTTTCTCTCTGCAGCAGATCCCTGATAACACTGGTCTTTTTAATGTTTCCATAATTTTTCCTTTTCCAGAATGTCATGTAGTTGAAATAGTATAGTATGTAGTCTTTTCAGATTGACTTATTTCTTTTTTAAAAATTTTCAAATTTTTTAAATTTTACTTTAATTTCTGGAATATATGTGCAGAACGTGCAAGTTTATTGCATAGGTATACATGTGCCATGGTGGTTTGTTGCACCTATCAACCCGTCATCTAGGTTTTAAGCCCTGCATGCATTAGGTATTTGTCCTAATGTTCTCCCTCCCTTTGCCCCCAACCCTGCAACAGGCCCTGGTGTGTGATGTTCCCCTCCCTGTGTCCATGTGTTCTTCTTGTTCAACTCCCACTTATGAGTGAGAACATGTGGTGTTTGATTTTCTGTTACTGTGTTAGTTTGCTGAGAATGATGGCTTCCAGTTTCATCCATATCCTTGCAAAGGGCATGAACTCATTCTTTTTCGTGGCTGCATAGTATTCCATGGTATACATGTGCCACCATGCTACCTGACTTCAAACTATACTACAAGCCTACAGTAACCAAAACAGCATGGTATTAGTACCAAAACAGATATATAGACCAATGGAACAGAACTGAGACCTCAGAAATATCACCACACATCTACAACCATCTGAACTTCAACAAACCTGACAAAAACAAGCAATAGGGGAAGGATTTCTTATTTATTAAATGGTGCTGGGAAAACTGGCTAGCCATATGCACAAAAAAGAAACTTGACCCCTTATTTATGCTTTATACAAAATTAACTCAAGATGGATTAAAGACTTAAATGTAAAACCTAAAACCATAAAAACCCTGGAAGAAAACCTAGGCAGTACCATTCAGGACATTGGCATGGGCAAAGATTTCATGACTAAAACACCAAAAGCAATTGCAACAAAAGCCAAATTGACAAATGGGATTGAATTAAAGCAAAGAGCTTCTGCATAGCAAAAGAAACTATCGCCAGAGTGAAAAGGCAACCTACAGAATGGGAGGAAATTTTTGCAATCTGTCCATCTGACAAAGGGCTAATATCTGGAATCTACAAGGAACTTAAACAAATTTACAAGAAAAAAACAAACAACAACAACAAAAAACATCAAAAAGTGGGCAATGGATATGGACATATCTCAAAAGAAAACATTTATGTGGCCAAGAAACATATGAAAAAAAGCTCATCATCACTGGTCATTAGAGAAATGCAAATCAAAACCACAATGAGATACCATCTCATGCCATTTAGAATGGCAATTATTAAAAAGTCAGGAAACAACACATGCTAGTGAGGCTGTGGAGAAATAGGGAAGGTTTTACACTGTTAGTGGGAGTGTGAATGAGTTCAACCATTGTGGAAGAGAGTGTGGCAATTCCTCAAGGATCTAGAACTGGAAATACCATTTGACCCAGCAATCCCATTATTGGGTATATACCCAAAGGACTATAAATCATTCTACTATAAAGACACTTGCACAGGTACGTTTATTGCGGCACTGTTCACAATAGCAAAGACTTGAAACCAACCCAAATGCCCATCAATGATAGACTGATCCTTGTGATTTTTAACATGAGTAAAAGATGAGGAATAGGCTAGAACTCAGGAAGCCTCTTTTAGCCCAGGTTTCGAACCTCAATCCTGCCCTTGCTTCCTGTGGAACCCCCACTCCCCAAACAAAATAAAAATAATAATAACCCAAATCTTACTTAAGCATGAAATTTGTCAAAGATAAATTAGGAGGATTACTTTTTCTTATAATCCCTCATTTCTTGATCATGGATGGTGGAAGGAATGCTGCTGTTAGGTCATTAAATTCTCTCTGGTAGGATTATTTAGCAATGTTCAAGCCTTTCTCCTCTCCTCACATTTCTTTCTTGTGTATTTTCTTAAATGCTTCCTCTTCCCTCTCTCTTCATTCTAGAAGATAGTAAGGGCTATCAATCACCTAGGGCTATTCTGATGTTTTCTTGGCAGTTAATAATTAGATTTGTTTACATGTGGTTCAAAAGAATTTAATGAACATTTTTACATTTTTTTCACCAGAATCACCGTTCTTTTATTTTTGTTTTATACATTGCATTTTAAGTTTTCTTCACTATAACAAACATAGATGTAAATTCCATATTACTATTTACAAGCCAAAAAAGATAAAAAAAGATAAATCACTCTTAGTAAACCAAAGTTGAGATCAGTGTTTTCTTTTAATACATATAACATTATGCATAGTTCTAACATAGCTGATTATTAACACATGCATTATATAATGCTTTATTCTAAACTCTTAATCTAATATATAAATAATATTTGGAATGGCTTTATGATATTTTAACATAAACAAAACATATACACTACTATAATATTTTATATACTAAATTTACCAAAATTTAGTTAACTAAAACATCCAATAATAGATGCTTGCTCCATTGTCTGTGTTATGAGTATATTATCATAAATTAGTCCTTTCTGGTTCTGTGTTTATATATGTATTTTTCATACTGTATATGGTAATTTATTTATATAGCTGTCTTAAAAAGAATTTACTAGGTTAGGACTATGACATTTTTAGAATCCTTGATACATAATAACTCCATATTGCTCTGAAAGTGGTTTTATTAACCTTCATCATGTTTCATACTGAGTCTACTGTCTACTTCTGTATCCATTCTAAGCTTTTTAGTTGAAATTTCTATGGGAAGCGTGCTTGGGATAATCCTCTCTGCTCTGGAAATTGCCTTGGTGAATAATTAGATCCCAGCTGAACTGGCTTTCGTAGTGATTTATCAGGTTCACGTATTTTTTCCTTCATATATATTTCTACAATATCTGTTTTGCTCTTGATACCCCAGCCTTCTAGGCTCAAATAATTCTAGTGTATGTACTTTATCAGAACAACTTTGACACAGTCATACAAATACACAAAGACTGCACCATGTTTCCCCAACTGCCCAGTTCACTCACACACACACACACACACACACACACACACACACCTGCACAGCCTCAATTTTATCCAAAGCCTCCTTAGATAAGCACCCCATGGGGAACATGTCTGCTTCAGTTTTGATACATCCTTCAGATAACAAAAAACATTGCTCAGACCTTGAGAACTTTACAAAATGCTCATAACAACAGGGTCCAGGTGGCAGTCAGTCGTATGCAGCTCTTGCGTGGCAGGAGAAACAACTTGATACGTTATTCCTTCTAAGTAGTATGTGGAGGAGCTTATTCAGTTCACTATGGTCACTCACTGTTTATAGGAATGGGACTACTGGAAAATTAGCACCATTCAATTTTTGGAGTATTACAATGACATTTATATAGAGATAGGGTATCACAATGAAACTTTATACGTATAGTCATGCACCATATAACAATGTTGTGGTCAATGACAGGCCACATGTAGGATGGTGGCCTCATAAGATTATAATGGAGCTGAAAATTTATTTCATCTGGTGATGTAGCTATCATGGTTACTCTCCCGGAAATCATTCTTACATTCTGCACCTGTCTTAAATGTTAAAGAGAGAAACTTGTTATATGCCTTTTATTTTAAAAAGAAAAATCAAGACATTCTAGACTTTAATGATCTGATAGATAATACATGATAACTGATGTGAGCTTCGCTATAAATATTACAGCACAGAGTGTGGTTTAGTACCAAGAGTGCAAACTATAGTCTTTGGAGAGAAGAAAATAAAGTTTGATTCCTAGTTCTATAACTTGTTATCTCAACTTTGGTAAGGGACATGAAATCTATAAACTCATGTGTAGTCATCTATAGAATAGGACTAATAATTGTACCTACTAACTGTGTTGTTCACTCCACACGAAAGTCTTAAGCAACTTCTAACAACAAAGCACACTTTTGTCCTAGGGATAAAAAGATGAATTGTCACCAGCCTGAGCAACATAGCAAGAGCTCATATCTAAAAAATTAAAAAAAAAAACTATCTGGGCGTGGTGGTATGTGCCTGTAATCCAAGCTACTTGGGAGACTGAGGTGGGAGAATGCTTGAGCCCAAGTAGTTTGAGGTTGCAGTGAGCCATGATGATGCCACTGTACTCTAACCTGGGAGACACAGCAAGATCCTATTGCAAAAAATAAAATAAATAAAATAAAATAAAATAAAAATCAATTACCTAGTGCCATTGACCTGTAAGAATGAATACTATAATACAGTGAACATACTTGGTAAACTACTCAATGCTATAAAAGTTTAACGTATTTATATTCAGTATTATTGCTTTATAATGAATTATAATTCTATAATATGCAGGGTTGTAAACTAGCCATAACCACAATAAGATACCATTACATATATTTTGTAATAGTTTGCTTTAGAAACAAAACACACTGATAATACCAAGTGCCGACAAGGATATGGTACAACTGGAATTCTCTACACTATATGTGCATAGTAATACACAGTGGTACAGCAACTGTATAAGTCAGAGTTCTTCAGAGAAATATAACCAAAAGAATGTGTATGTATGGAGAAAATGATTTAAAGCATTGGCTCAGGCAATTATGGAGGCTGGCAAGTCCAAAATCTGCAGGGTGGGCTGGTAGGCTGCAGAACCAGAAAAGAGAATGTGCTACAGCTCAAATCCAAAGGCCATCAGGCTAAAATCTCAGGAAAGAGCCAATATTGAAGTTCGAGTCTGAAGGTCATCTGCTGAATAATTAATTATCCTTTGCTCTGGGGAGAGTAGTCTTTTGTTTTACTCAGGCCTTCAACTGATTGGAAGAAGACAAATTACATTATGGAAGACAATCCACTGAAAGTCCACTGATTTAAATGTTGATTTCAGGCTCACAGAAACATCCAGGACAGGTTTTGACCACATATCTGGGCACCATGACCCAGCCAAGTTGATATAAAATTAATAATGACAGCATCTTTCATACAATTACTAATCACCTGGCATTTCCACTCTTAGGCACTTACCAAAGTAAAATAAAAGCAAATGTTTACACAGAAATCTCTATCCAATTATTTATAATGGCTTTATTCACAATTGTCCAAAATTGAAAACAACCCTAATATCCTTCAACAGACAGAATATCCATACAATGGAATGCTACTCTACTATTAAAATTAAATAAAAATAAAAAACCAACAGTCACAGGAAATAGCATGGATGAATCTCATGTTCATTGTCCTACAAGAAAAAAGCCAGATACAAAGGCTACACAGTGTAAACTCCATTTTTATGAAATTCTGAGAAGCAGCAAAAGATAACGGCACAAAACAGTGATTAATGGTGGGGGAAGGAGGGTGTTGACCTCAAAGGAAAGCAAGAGGAAATTGGGGGGCTACTGAAACTGTTTTATATCGTGACGTTTTACAATTGTATTTGTCAAAACTTAAAACAATAAATTTTACTGTATTAAAATTATACTTAAATAAAAGTTGGCAAGTGCAGTTGTTCACATCTGTAATCACAGCACTTTGGCAGGCTGAGGCGGATGGATAACCTGAGGTCAGGAGTTCAAGACCAGCCTGTCCAAAGTGGTGAAACCCCCTCTCTACTAAAAATACAAAAATTAGTCAGGCATGGTGGTACGTGCCTGTAATCCCAGCTAATCTGGGGGCTGAGGCAGGAGAATTGCTTGAACCTGGGAGGCAGAGGTTGAAGTGAGCCTGGATAGTGCCACTGCACTCCAGCCTGGGCAACAGAGCAAGACTCTGTCTCAAAATACATGTATATATATTTAATTAAAAGTTCCAAAGGTAATTATGCAAAAATAGTACTCATTGTACATATAACATTTAACAACATGTACATGCTATATTATCTAAAAAGGCTCACACAATTGTGCATGCAATACACCTAGATGATACCCAGAACCTCAGCGTAAAAATTGTTAGTCCTCCTGCTTTCAAACTCATTTTATCCAAAGAGGTGGCTCTTCCATATATTAATACTCAGTAGATTAGGAGATAATTATAAGTGTACTTTTATAATTTTTAATAATTATTTTTCTTATAGCTTATAGTTTAGAAAGGTATCCTCTGTATATACCTTTTCCCCACTGATTCCTTCCAAGAAAAATATAAATTACTTGGAAAGCTTTCCCAGAACTTTTTCGACTTTAACTTAAGGGTCTTTTATATGTAACATATTTTGAATGTCCACTATCATGAGTGCCAGAGTCTGATTAAGCAATTTACTTCTAATAATAAACTTTAGGATAGTTAGATTTGTAACCTAGAATACAGGGACAGGGGTATTTGAAATTGTGACTCTTGCTTAAGTTTATTCAGCGAATAATCTGAATTTTGTAGATTATTAAAAAATCTGATCCAGATTTTTTACCTAAATTTGTCTGACTACAGATATTAAAATCTCTTACTTTCAGGTTTCCCCAGAAAACGTTCTGAGCTACAGCCACAGATACCTATATTTCTAAATTCCTCAGTTGTGTGCAGAGGTTGAAACAATCTCCCAGAAAATTTTCTCCAGGTAAGACATAAACATTGCATCCAATTTTAAAATGAAGACAGAGATAGTCAAACACAGGAGGGAGGGCATACACAGCAAGATATTTCTTCTGAGAACTTATATTAAAATCACCAAACACCTCCAACAGAAAATATTAGGAAAAGTGGCCTAACAAAATGTTTTGCCAGTCCCATGTCATTACTTAACATTTCTTCCAAAGCCATTTTTACTATTCTAGAATCTAATCAGTTAAATTCATCAACCTTCAAAAATGGAGAATGGGTCAGTTAAACTATTTGTGCATGTAATTACACACAAAGGGCTAAAAGAAGTAACAACACTCCTTGTTGCTTTGGAAACAGGCAAATTCTGTTCATTGTGCCCCTGTTTGGCCACCATTGTGACATGTCTTTTCACAAACTATACTAGTACTTTGGAACATAGCTAGAAATTTGGTATTCAAAGTCAGTGCAGTAAATCATCAACAAAATTGAGTCTCTCAAACAAGAGGGTCTTTGTTTATGACAAATAACAGCGGTCCATCCTCTGGATTAGACATCCAATTCCAATAATGACACTAGACCAGAAAACAGAACTGTGTCTCCACTTAGAGCAAGGCAATAAGTACTGACCTGGGCTGGTCATGTCCATGGAAGGTTGAGGAGCAAATTGCTCCTAAGAGAGATTGGAAATCACAGTGAGTCTACTCTACTAGCCTTCCAGTCATGCCAAACATCTCTGTCAAGATATTCTATAGAATGCCATTAGTGGAACAACAGGGAGAGGGAAGTCAACAGTCAGGCAAAAGAGGTCATTCATGAAGGAAGGGAAGAGGACAAGTGAAAATTACAGTTCTGACATTAGTAAGTGGGAATAAATGGAGATGCTCTCAGACTAGTGTCTGTAAGCAGGGAACAGGTAATTGCACATAATAAATTTCCTGTAATTGTCATTCTTATTGAGGCAGTGTGTCCTTTCTCTTTTTCATTGCCTTCTTTGGAAGTTTTGTGTGATTTGCTTTGTTTCCTCTCCTTTTCTTACATTCTGTGTTGATGTTGAAGCCTCACAGTTAATGAAGAGAAACTTCTAGAAATGAGTTCCTCTTTCCCTGGCAGAAAGAAGTAAAGCTCCCTTCGAATATATATTTCATTTCTTATATCTCTGCAATCCAAATTCCCGGACATTTATTCAAACACACAATTTTGATTACTCTTGTAAGGTCCAGTAATGATATGACCTGGCCTGGAGTAGCCTGGTGTCCAGTAAGGAAAACAGGGAAGAGCACCAAGACTTATTAAAAGCTTACTATGTGTCAGACACTGTATTAGATGCCTTTCTTTGCATTATGCAATAAAGTACCAACCACAACCAACCAGAAATTCAAAGTCTATGAAACATAAAGATCAAAAATATTTATGTTCACATTCATCCAACTCTAGGGCTCTCTTACATCTTGTGAATTAAGATACTGAAAGCATCATTGCAGATACAGTCTTCACATTTTTCTCATCTGCCATTCTGTGTTGATCTTTGGCGGGCTGCCTTCATGATTTCAAGAGGGATGCAGCAATCATAGTTGTCATATCCAGATCTGACAAATCCAAGTGGAAGAAAAGCAGCTTTGTACTGAGTAAAATCCCTTTTTCCAGAGTCTCTGTCATGTTTTCTCATTGGGGAAAATTGTGTCCATGTATGTGACTAAACCAGTCACTGTCAGAGCATGTAAGAATATCATAATTGACTTCAAATAATAAGGTTGAACCGCTTTAAAGAAAGGCTGAACTGCTTGGGAGGGAAAAATATCTGGACTAAATTGGAATGTTATGAGAAAGTGGAAGGAAGTAGGCAACTAATGTATTCTAGGACCTGTGACCCTTGACACTCAGTGACACCTCTAATGACTTGTATGGGATTTGAAAACTTTACCAGCAGTCCTGGAGGTTGACCTGGAACCCATTCAATGTAGCGTTGTTATTCATTACTATATTTTCCTCATTGGTTTTTGTCTATTTTACATGATGATTACAAGAAAGGGTTGGGGGAGATGTAATGAAGATGAGATTTTAAGTCACCACCTTGGCCCATTAAACATTTGAAAAGTCTATACATAAAAATGTCATGTCTCTCAAGCTATGGGAATTGATTTCAGTGCTTTGTGGTTTGCTTGCAACAAACATAACAATTTCAAGGCTTGGGCACTAAAAATGAAAACTTTATTGGATTCAACAAAAATGGATACAGAACAGCAAAAATACAGTATGTGGTTAACCACAGACAAAGCAGTCCCTTCTACTTATCTCTGCCTTTTTCCATTACTGCTGTCCTGATGGCTTTGATCCAGTAGATGATTATTTGAATGCAGAGAATCAATGTGATGCTAGCACATTTTGGGTAAGTTAACAAATAAATTAAGCTTCATGATCCCATAACATGTTTACATTTTTGCTTCTTCTTTTGCAAAAGGGTCAAATTCACTTTTGATATATACATCTTGAATGACCAAGGTGAGCCATTCAAGACTATCTGTATGAGCATGGTATATAATCACTTCACCCAGCAGGACAGATGGTGAAAACGTCAACTCCTAGTTGAACTTTGGACGCTGTTGAAAGATAAACATAATTTGGACAGGCTTTATCTCTGTTTGAAGTAAGAACTTTAAGGTCACAGGAAGTTCCTCTCATTTTGTAGGTGAATGAACTAGGTATCTGAGAATTGCAGGAATTTATCTAAATGTAATTATAGTAATAGAACAATAATATATTTAGTACGGCCTATGAAATTTGATGTCTGGTTATAGTGTGAAGGAACAATTATACTAATTTCAGAACTTCAACATAACAACTGGGAAGTGCCAAATAAACTTGTGGTTAAATTCTGACTGTTTTATTTTGTATTTATTAGTGGTTCTGTGACCTGAGTACAGTGACACCTAACTTTCAAGGCTGTTGTACTGATGATTAATAATGCAGGTGTGGCTTTAGTGGTGTAAGTATGGTCTATCTAAAACTTCAAAAAATGAAAGAGTGTAACTTGATGTAGTAATCTTATGCCTGTTTATCCTTAGAGTTATGTCCCGTCCTCTCCTCTTCATTATAGGTGAATTTATCTCTACAGGCTTCATTTTCCAATTTCCAAACTCTTCCATCAGCTGGTCTCTGCCTGGTTTCAATCACTGGAAATCTCAATCAGGAGAAGTGAAAACAAAAGTAAATAAAGACTATATGCACTGTGATAGCCTCCTCTGGATCCTGAAACAGTAAGAGAACATTAGTGGGAAACTGGTGAAATCAAAATAAAGTCTGAAGATGAGTTAATACTAATGTACCATATTTGTTAGCATCAGGGGAAACTGGGTGAAGATTAGGTGGGATCCATTCATACTATCTTTAAACTTTTCTGTAAATATAAATTTATTCATAAATAAAACATCTATTTAAAATTTAGAAATTTAGAAAATAAAAAGCCAGGGTCTTTATCTCTCTTGTCTTCATCAACAAGCTTCTGTAGCAGTAGCACATTTTCTCCATGGCTCTCATTCCCACTGAATGACCCACCTGGTCATTTTCCACTGGTGTGCTAATACACTTCTTTTTATTTTCTTTTAATCTTGGAATAATAGAAGCTGCCTTCTGTTGCTAGAATCTTACACACCGATCGTCTCCAATTTGGCTTTGTAAGTTTCATCAACTGTATAATTACCCAATGAGTTCTTCTTGCCCACTACCCAGATACAGCCAATTTACTGAGAAAGCAGTATTGCAATAGAGAAAGAGATTAATAAACACAGAGTCAGCTAAGCAGAATACTGGAGTTTACTACTCAAATTAGCCTCCGTAAAATTTAGAGACTAGAGATTTTTAAGAATAATTTAGTGAGTGAATGGCTAGGGAATGGGGAATACTAATTGATTGGGTTGGGGATTAGTTGAAGGGAGCTGAAGCTGTCTTCCTGGTATTTTCAGTTTCTGGGCGGAATCACAAAACTAGTTGAGCCAGTTTATTGGTCTGGGTGCTGTCAGCTGGTCCATCAGATTGGAGAGTCTGAAAAATATCTCAAACATAAAACTTAGCTTTGACAATACTGATGTTATCTATAAGAGCAATTGGGAAGGTTAGGAATATTGTGGTTTCTGGCTATATGACTCCTGTGCCATAGTTTCTAATATAGTGGCTTAGCTGTTTTCCAAAGACAGTTTAGTTGGTCTTCAAAGAAGGAGGAGGCTTGTTTCTGGAAAAGGCTGTTATCATTTTTGTTTTAAAGTTAATCTATAAACTAAATTCCTCCCAAAGTTAGCTTGACTTATGCTCAGGAATCAATAAGGGCAGCTTGGAGTTTAGAAGCAAGATAGACTCCATTAGGTCAGATTTGTTTCATGTTCGTAATTTTCCTATATCAAATTGTTTACAGTGTCATAATTTTTGTGAAGGTACTTTCAACGGAGTAAATATTTTCCTCCATTATTTATCTCTGTTTTAGAAATTCAGAGTAGTATAATTTTTCTTGTTTGGACATTGGCTGTTACACCGAGGGAAAACTTGCATAATTGAGGTTACCTCCTTTTTACTTGCAAAGTCCTCTTTGGGCTTTGATAATCTTGATCAAATAAGACACAGGTTACGAGACACTAATTAGTGAGATAAGTTTAATAATTTAATTTTCTCTCTGTTCTCTATCCAAGATAATTCTGAATACTAACTACCCAGATACTAGCATGGATCCTAAGCTTTCTCTGCTAAATGTGGAAATGTGAAATTCGTTAGTGTTCTTAAGAGTTTGAATTTTTTTTTTATACAGTCTTCCTCTGTTTCCCAGGCTGGAGTGCAGTAGCACTATCTCAGCTCACTGCAACCACCGCCTCCAGGGTTCAAGCAATTCTCATCCCTCAGCCTCGTGAGTAGCTGGAATTAAAGGCATATGCCACCATACCTGGCTAATTTTTGTATTTTTAGTAGAGGTGAGGTTTCACCATGTTGGCCAGGCTGGTCTCGAACTCCTGACCTCAAGTAATCGGCCTGCTCAGACTCCCAAAGTGCTGGGATTACAGGCATGAGCCACTGTGCCCAGCCAACAGTTTGAAACTTTAGAACTTGTAGGGCTGGTTCTTTAGCTTTACCTACCTACCTACCTACCTACCTACCACCAGGGTCACATCCCTGTGGGGAAAAAATGTCCAACTGCTCTAGAAATGGAGAAAAAATGAAAGAATAGAAAAAAAAGTTTGTCACTAGTTTATTTAGACACATTTATATCCTGGGTTTGTAAAAGAGACTTTAAAGATATTGTTACCGATGCTAAACACTATTCTTCCTCATTGCAGAGGTGAAGGCTAGGTTACATGAAGCATATCAAAAACTTGGGGTTAAGAACATTAGGCACATTTATCAGTATTACATGTTTTTGTGAGAATAAAAAAAAAAAAAAGAAATGCTGCAACATGGTGGACCAGGCCCCACTCAGGAGTCTTCTAATAGCTTCCAGGCAAGAGTCCTCTGTATAATTTTCTAACAGATTCTTTTTGCCCACTGCCTGGAAATGCCAATACGCCAAGAGCAGCAGGAGTTGCAGCAGAGAAAGAGTTTAATAATCACAGGGCCAGGCATGTGAAGAGATGGGAGGTATTTCTCAAACCTACCTCCCTGAGAATTCAGAGGCTAGAGTTTTTAAGGGTGCTTTAATAGGAGCCTGGGGGTACTGAGACAATTGATTGGCTGGGGATGAAATCACAGGGTTCTTGAAATGGTCTTCCTGCAGCTGAATCAGTTCCTGGGGTCACAGGATCAGTTGAGTCAGTAGCCTAGTGTGGGTCACAGATCCAGGTGGCATCCCTTAGTCTGCCAATATTCTAAATCTGAAAAAATATCTTAATACCAGTTCTTCAGGTTTCACAATAGTGGTATTATCTATAGGAGCAGTTGGTATAGTTACAAATCTTAGGACATCTGGTTACATGACTCCACGGTGGTAAGGACTATAGAAAGAAAGCTAAACAAGCAATGTGCCTATTTAACAAAGTTCAGGCCACTATCATAATTCTAACCTTGTGGCCTTTTATTAGCCTTACAAAAAGTAGTTTTGGTCCCTACCAAAACAAGGAGGGAGTTAGTTTCAAGAAGACGATCATCCTTGCTTTAGCTATATATTCTTTCCATAGTTAGCTTGACCTACATGCAGGTCTGAACACAGGCAGTAAGCTTATGAGGTTAGAAACAAGATGCGCTTAACTGTATTAGCTTTCTCTCACTTTTACAATTTTGCAAAGGCCATTTCATCTGGATAGCATATACTTATAGTTCACCATCATCATGGTGATGAACTTCAGAAATGCAGTCTCAGTGACTGCATGATTCATGGTAACTGTAAAGCTTGGAGATTATTATATATGTAATACCAAACAGTGACTTTGGCTTTCTGAAAAGTTCACTTAAAATAACCTGTACTTTCTTTATGTTTTACTGTTAGTTTACTAATATGTAGCCCAAAACATAATACAATGTTTCATTGTAGGCATGGACTAAAAACTAGAGGAGTTAATTATAGAATTTTATTATTCAAAGATAACAGAAAAAAACAGTTTATAATTTCTTCTACATTTGTAGTGTACCTGACATGAAAACAAGATATTTACAATATTCCCATGTAGAAAGGGCAGAAAGACCCAAACAGGTGGTGTCCACTTCCTCATATGTGACTATAACTGTTACTGGAAAGGGGTCCAGGTCCAGACCCCAAGAGAGGGTACTTGGATCGCACACAAGAAAGAATTTGAGGCGAGTCCATAAAGTGAAAGCAAGTTTATTAAGAAAGTAAAGGAATAAAGAATGGCTACTCCATAGGGTTGCCCGTTTTTATGGTTCTTTCTTGATTATATACTAAACAAGAGGTAGATTATTTATGCCTCCCCTTTTTAGACCATATAGGGTAACTTCCAATGTTGCCATGGCATTTGTAAACTGTCATGGCGCTGGTGGGAGTGTAGCATTGAGGATGGCAAGAGGTCACTCTTGTCACCATCTTGGTTTTGCTGGGTTTTAGCTGGCTTCTTTACTGAAACCTGTTTTACCAACAAGGCCTTTATGACCAGTATCTTGTGCTGACCTCCCGTTTCATCCTGTGACTTAGAATGCCTGTCTGGGAGTACAGCCCAGTTGGTCTTAGCCTTATTTTACCCTTCCCCTATTCAAGATGGAGTTGCTCTGGTTCAGACACCTCTGATATCACCCTCCTTCACATTTTTATAAATCTTAGAGTCAGACCAACTTTTCCATTGTTGAAATATTTTAAAATTCATCCCCTCCTTTTAGACTCAAATCTTGCATTCTGTTTTTGTATGTATTTGTGGTGATAATTATGTATAGCTCAATCTATTTCCAACTTCTCATTGGGTATCTGACCCATCTGATGATGATTTAATGACAATTTATTTTTAATTATATTATTATTGCCCTCACCTGTTTATATTGTGCTTCCCAAAACAAAAATGCCATAAATATATTCAAAGAGCCAAGGTGGATGGTTGGAATTGCTAGGTTCTTAGAATTCTGGGATCAACATTTATCAGACAGGTTCTAATTATCTTGTCATGGCCTTTTTCCACTCCTCCAAAGCCTACAAACAATTTCCAGTGACTGTCACACTAGCAACAGGGGGGCAGTACAATGATTCAGCCATCGGCACAACTCCCTGCTGTCCTTGTCCTTATCCTAGCTAATGAGCCCCAGTTGTAGAAAGAGCTTAGGCTTAGAAAACAGAATGTCCTAGTTTTCCTTGAAGAAGAAGTGGGACCTTGAACTAAGTGTCTTTGAATCCTAGTTTCCTCATCTATGAAATGGCATGAGAGTTCATAATTCTCAGTGGATTAAATACATGTAATTACAAAGCAAACACTCCAGCACTTGAACTATCATAGGTATTCAGGATTTATTGATTTCCTGCAATCCATATATAAAATAATCCCATATATTCCCAATCTCTTTTTCCTGGGCCCAATGTGTAGATAGAAGATAAATATTAGTAATAATAATAACAAAAATATCCTCAAACAGTATTATGGCTGATTTTCCTAAACATTCCCACATTTTCCATCTTGACAACTTGTGCCCATGTCTCCTATGCTTTAAGGATCTTGATTCCTGTGCAGATATTGGGATTTGAATTCAATTTATATCTACAAAATGTTCTGTTGTCTTTATTAGAGATTTGGTAAGAAAGGGAGTTGGCATTAATAGTCAAGGGAAGAGATGGAAAGTCACAAAGATGTGGGTTTGAATCTTGCTTCTGACAATTATTGTCTGTATAGCTCTGGGGAAAGTGTGTTCATTTATAAGACGAGAATAATAATTTATACTTCAAAGGGTATTTATGAGCATAAAGGGAACATGAAAAGGACTGAATGCAATCCCAGACTTAGCAAAATACAGCCAAATTTGGCAATAGTAGACTCATTTAATGGCATTTACATTTGCTATTACTGAAACAACTTTGGTTGTTTATTTTGGGGAGCCTTGAATTTATGTGAGTAAACAGTGACAGGAATCCTAGTTCTATCTGGTTCTACATTTGATACTGTTCTCCTACACTGAAGTCATGGGCTAGTTTCTCTCCCTCCTACAACTGGAATGTCTCCCCACCATGCCATTACTTCTTAGCCACTCATATCACTTCTCTGGGTCAGCAGACCATCAGTTCATAATTTTATGTCTGGATAAGAATTGAATCCACTATCCCTTTGTTAATTATTTACTTTTTATATATTGTGACCCTACTTTCCTAACTCCTGATTCCCACTCATTTTTTCTAAGTTTAGCCACCTCCTCTGCATATAATGTCAAGGATGTCTTGAAATTGTTATCATGCAACTGTAGTAAAAACTATTTACTGGGAGCCAATCTAAACAATTTTAACTTGCTTTAATAACGTATTCTTCCGTTCCTACAGGCAGAAATGAGCTTATGCGTGCAACCTGGTTTTTCATATTACCATTACACTACTTTCAGGGATTATCTTTCTCTCTGCTTCTTCATACTCCCACTTAAGCTACATGTTCTATTTTCTCTGACATAGATCTTTTATAGTTTCAGTTATAAAGAAAGTTTGCATCAAATAACTGGTCTGACGAAACTTAGAAGTTATATAGAATTTCAGGGGCCCACCTCCATTCTACATCACAATTTATTTTTTCATTTATACCTTTAATAATCATACCTTATGATTTTTAAATGATTTTCAATATGGAAGTAATCTGTAAGAGTTCAAGAGAAGGTGCATGACTTGTAATTCAAGAGATGCGAATTAAAATTTTGCTTTGATTTCAAGATATTGATTCAATTTCTTGAGTGTCAACTCCTTTGATTCAACAGTGCAAATTAGAAATACTGTATTTAACATATCTCACAGCATCTGATATGCTGTATATGCTTAATAAGTGCTGTTTCTCTTTTTTTGTTGGTATTTTTGCCTAATGTAAAATAAACAATACTTAGAATGACAGAAAAACTTTTCACTTTGCCATTATTAAATCAGATAAAAACACTATTCACTTTGTACTCTATAATTATTATGATTAATCCCCTCTAAATATTAGCAAAAGACCATAGCTCCAATGACCCTGACACAAATGTATTAAGAAAGGTCTTAACACTATCATTTAGCAGGTGTATATTTTTATATAATGGGATGATGGTAGGGTTGGTGAATAATATTTCTAGTGAAACTGTAGGCATTTAGAAAAAAACTAGAGTTAAAATTTTTGGAGGAATTACTTTTAAGACATTGTTGTTCACCGAGAAAGATAAGACTAATGCAGTAAGATGAAACATAAGTAAATATTCCTTTTATCATCAACAAGAATCAGAATCATGTTAGTAGAATAAAAATCCATGAAACATCTTTGTTATCCTATATCACTGATTAAAAATAATAAAGACAAGCAGAACTGTTGGTAAGGTCTCACCATTCTGCCTAGAGTCTACAATTTTCTAAATGTCCAGATCAATATCAAGACCTGAAAATCTGAGGAAATTTTAGATGTTTTTGATACACTGCACCTACATTTGAAGACTCTTTATTGCAGTAGTACATACTGGCCTTCAAATTATGGAAGAGGAGAATGAGGCTAGGGATTTCTAGAGTTGAGAACCACACCTTTGTGATAGCTCTCCTTTATTTTGGGGAAAATAGTTACTGGAATTATTGTTTCCTAAGTATTTATTTTTCAGTACTGTAAAGGGAAAAGATAAGAGAGGCAATAATGTGATCATGCATAAAAATGAAATTTTGCTTTTTTTACAAACTAAAACTCCTAGAACAATATGAAGAAGTAAGGGCAGAGTAAACTTATGGTATAGAAAGTATTCTGAGGACTTGTGTCTTTTTCTTAGGAAGTAGAAAGGGGACACAGAATTTTGTCCATTCTAACAAAGAAAAGTTGGATAATATACAAAATCATAACTTTTATTGAACTAATCAAAGAGCCAAAATCACAGTGAAAGCAACTAGCCTGGAATTTAAGGTAAGAAAACTGCCTGCAAAGAGAGAAAAGACATGAATATTCCATTACTTGGGGAAAATTGTGGGATGACAAATTGCTGCCATACAATTAGAAAAGAATTCAGTTAAGATATTTAAAATACTCTTCAATACTGAGTATGTTATAACCTCTGAGTACAAAAGCCCTGGGAGTCACAGACAACGGGGGAGTTGACATGCACTCTCAGATTCTTCCATGAACCTCACCAGATGCTGTTGAAAAAGACTGCAAAGCAGAAAGCTAGAGGAAGCCTCCTTCATGTTGCATGCCTGGAGAAATGGAGCAGACTTGTACTTCAGTCTCACCTATATCTGATTTAGATAATATTTGTGATATGAAGGTGTCTTATGGAATGAAGAGAAGTCGAAGTCAGAGAAAAGGGGAATCTGGAAAATATCATCACCCTGAATAAGAGAATAGAGCAAGAGAAGAAGAGGTAATAGATAGGAGCGTAAAGAGTTAACTGGCATAGTCTCCCATCCACTCCATGGAAAGATGGCATAGTCATTATTAAGACCATTTAATTCCATACTGACATTATCCTGCCAAACTTTCAATGCTTCTCCGTTTTCAAAATTGTTAAATGTTTTGCATTGCCTTATATTCTGCTTATCTCAATTTTGCAAACTATATTCCAGCATTATATGTTTTTAATATTGTGCAACCTTAATATACGCTACTTACATCCTCAAGTAAACAAGACTTTCAAGACAAAAGACTACTGTAAATTGAAGTCTCAGATTAAATTATTAAATAACTTATCACCTGAATTTAGTCCATAAGTCAACACTGTGGCACTTGTGAAAAAACAAACAACTAAAACAAATCCAAAACAAATTCCATCTTGTAAGTTGTCATAATCTATGGCCAACTTGTCCTACAATGACTGCCCTGATTGGAGAAGTAACTGTGCCTTTTATATCTCTCTGTCTCCTGTAACTAACACATTAATAGTGTATATGATATGTGGTGGGAACTCAGTCAGTTTAGGTGGAAAGGATGACTAAAGTCTTAATAAAAATTTTTGCAAGTCTTTACAATATAAACTCCAAATATCATACATTTTCTTCTTTTTCTCCAAATCCACACTGTGTTTTAATTATAATGCCACATATGAATGCTTGATGATTGATACTTTGGAAAGAAAAAATGTACAAGTGCATTTTCACAATTTCAGTATGATATTGAAAGTTCCCTTTAAAGCATGCTAAATTGAGATATATCCACCTGACGACTGTTGGCTTTTTGGCTACTATAGGTTTTCTGCTAGCAGTTCAGCATGAGTGCCCATCATGGCAGTCCTCCTTCCATTGTACTTTCATGAGATTCAATACCACATGAAAAATTTGATTGCATTTATTCATGTGAAGTCTTTACCTGAAATCTGTATCAAAATAGCATGTAAAATTCCAATGTAGTCAAAAAATCTCTAAAACATCACATATGTAAACAAACATTAGGAAGCAACTGAAATGACACAAGTCAATTATCTCATCAAAAACCAGTTTTTATAATAGCATAATATTTGTAAGAAAAATACTTAAAAGATGTTAAATTAAACATCAAACTTTATTGTCATGAAGTCTTTGCCATCGGGGAAAACTACCTCTCTGTTGACAAGTCAAGATATTTCACTGGCAAGTATCAAAGGTGATTGTGTGTGTGTGTGTGTGTGTGTGTGTGTGTGTGTGTGTGTGTGTGGTGTGTTTCTCCTTTCTGCTTTTGCCAGGCTAACCTTTATAGGAAAAAAAAATATGGTAATATAAGTAGGACATTTCTCTGTAAGAATAGATAACCCAAGATAGACCTTGAAAACCTCGCTATTAAAATTTACAAGCCTCATTTTAGTGAATGTTTAAATAGGTTACACACAGTTTGCTAATTGTTTCTACTTGGTTTTCCAATGTCACTACAAATGGAAATACAAAACCACTATGTATTATGTCCATTAAATAACATTGTACTCCCTTTACCTAATTTATTTAAAAAGAGACATTTACTGCTCTTCCACACCCATTTTATGTCAGAAGAGGAAAGGAAAGTGTTGAACAGAGTAATAGCAGTCTGGGGTTCCTATCTTAGGTTTTCCTAATCTTATCTCATCCTTTCTATTGCTTTTACAATGAAAGATAACTTAAAAAATGGTTCTGTTCACAGGCACCAAAGAATAAATTGGTGATAGACTTATAAATATTGGAATTGTATCTAAAAGAAGAATTTGTCTTTTAGATAAAGACATTGATCTGGCAAGAAAAGGGCACTTATTGGGGAGATGAGGTCATTAGCTTTCTCCCTTTCTCTCTCTTTCTCTCTCTTTCTTTTCTTTTCTTTTTTTCTTTCTCTCTCTTAATATTTTTTATTACTTTCTGCTATTATTATTATTTCTATATCTGTGAAGCATATGTTGCTAAGGCCAATGACAGCTTTTCTTGGAGGTGAAAGAGGAAATGCAGAAACTATAATTTAGGGGTATGTGTGTATGTGTGTGCGAGTGCTGTCTTGAGTCAGCAATAGACTACATCATGTGCTGGCTAGAAGCCAGCTGGTCAGATCCCCTTCCTGAGACTCTGAGCTGCTCTACACCCCCCTTAATCATCCCAGGGCCAGGACCAGCCAACCAAGGACAAGTCCTATTTTCCAGAAAGTATTGAAGTTACCCAACCCCTCTGCTTTTCTTGTCTCACTCTTTTATTTCCAAAGAAACCACAGTGAAGGTGTTTGTCCATAGCCCTCCTCCCCTCTCTTGCCAAGTAACAACCTGGTTCTTGTCTTGAGTGACTGTATTGTATGCTGCATTCTCTTCAGGGAACTGTGAGCAGAACCAAACTGTAAAACTCTTCCTAGTTTCTCTCACATGATCTATGTCTGGTCTCACCATACCTCACCCAAGGTAATCAAGTTAAAATAGGAACCCAGACTTTTTGCTTTTGTGAAAGGCACTCTTACTTGGGATATGGACATTTCAATTTAGTATAACTTTAACATAATAAGTATTTGAAACACCTAATTCCGTTTGTTCTAATTCCATGGTCACCCAGCAATCAGCCGTTCATTTTCTTCCTTTCATCCAATTGCTCATGTAAGTAAATATTTATTCAATTACTTCCAAATGCCAATCACAGTGCCTAGCACATAAATGAGCAAGCAGTGAGACCCACTAGAAAGTAGGCTCCCTGAGGACAGAAACTCTATATAACATCTTAGCTTGTTAATAAAGAAGAGAATAGAAAATTCATGTGCAAGTTGTGAGTTTTCTGGTGGATAGGATAGTAAGAGTTCTCACCATAAATCAAAGGACTAAAATTCTGGTACATATGTCCTTATTAGAGTGAGAGCTTATCTTGAGAAATGACTCATCTCTATGTTCAGCTATCTAAAATTTATTTCCTGTGTAACATATACTGGTTTAGGAGGAAGGAAAAAGACAGAATGAAAGAGAAATAGAGAGAGAGTCAGAAAGAGAGAGAGAGAATATAACAGAAAAAGACAAATGAAAGGAAATGAAGAGATTTCTACACTTAGGGAGCATGATGTGTTTGCTGTTTCATATTCTTTTATGATGAAGATAAAAAGTGCAATACCCCAAAAGTTCTGAATGAGACATGATCTAGTCTTCTGCTGGGGAAGTAGAAAGACACTTACCTTTCCAAAAACCCCACAGTTAAAATGATTCTGACCAAAATGATAGGGTTATATTCAATAGATTATCCCAAAGGAAATGTAATATCTGAGATATAATTTTACCACTTGTGTTTGCTCTACAAAAAAAATCTATATTATTTCTCTGCTCAAATTTTTCACAGAGTGGTGACATATACTTCTCACTTTTTTGTTGAGGAAATGATATTTCCCAGTCACCATCTTTGGATCAGTAAAGTCCATCTAGGTCTAAAGGCAAAAATAATGTGATTAAGTCTCCAGTTTATATTGTAAGATCCAATTGAAGTAATAATTAAAACCTTATAGCTTTAAACAGGATAACAAGCATTGAAAAATATAGAGCATTATCTCCTGGGCTAGCCACAAATAATTTACCTAATTTGTTCCCTATTAAGTCTAACTGACTCTATTACTTAACAGCCTTGGGGAAAAAGGGATGGCGGTGTGAAGGGGACTAGAAAGCATTATTTTGGATTTTTTTCTTTTACTATTTTGCCAATTAAGGCAGTGTTTCAGGCCATGTACAGCTGTATGATACTTAATTATTTCACTCAGAAAACCAGAATTTTTTTTTTTAATGTGTGAAGTTATTGGAGAAATACCAAGTCAGGAAAGCGAGGAATGAAAAGATCAAATTTCAAGTGGGACCTGAAGCCCTGGCTGCTGAGACTGGCATTTTATACTGCATTTTTATTGAGAGACTTGATTTCCAAACACCAGCTGAATGGCGGGGGCTGAGCATCGATTTTAACAGTCTGTGTGTCAGAGGGAAAATGTAGTTAGGGTCCTCTGAAGTACAAGGGGCTTGGTAACACCATCATGATTTGAATTAAAGGCCCAAAGGAAAACCCTATCAGTAAAAGACAAGAGGGTATAAACTGACCTTGAAAATGTGTGCCATCTAGTTTAAAATCACTTAAAATTTTAACTAGATTAAAATAATATGGACTTACTGAATGAAGCTCAAGGCCCAGCTGCCAACCAGAAACAAATACCCGCTAATAAAAGGTCCTGGGATTGTCCCTCCAGAAAACCATGTTATCACTTCCAACTGTCAGGCTATTTCTACAAATTTTCATATGCAAAACTTAGCATTTAATTGAAAATCATCATGCATATGGGAAAACCAGACAACATGAAATAATAACAACAATCACCAAAACCACAAAGAGAAAAAACCTAAAAGATAAAAACACTCGGGATAAAAAGAGATATAACAGATAAGACAGAGCTAAAGAGAGAGTTAGTAAATTAAAGGAAACAGTTGTAAAAAGCACTCATAAAAGAAAGAGAACATTTAAAATATATTGTTTTCTGTTAACTACTAAAGTTGAACATGTGCACACCCTACAAACTAGAAATTCCACTTTTAATTATATATCTTAAAATGTATACATACAGAAATGTATGTATATATGTATACATAAAATCACGTATAAGAATAATTATATTAGCATTATTGATAAAAGCCAAAAGTGTGGACACAAGTGGGCAGAAAGAGTAGCCTGGTTAAATAATTCTACTTATATAAATTCAAAAGCATGAAAAGTTAATCTAATAATAGAATAGTGATTACTTTTGGGATTGGTGATAGGAGTGAGTTTAGAAAGGCTCAAAGTGAATTCTTGACTGCTAGGTATGGGGGTATAATAAATTTGTGAAAAGGCATTGAACTTACACTCATGATTTATGCACTATGCTACATATATATTCTGAATAGATAAAATATTTTCAAAAACATAAATTCAAAGTCTTACAGACAGAAAATGCAATTTTGAAAAAAAAAAAAGTTTAAAGACTTAGACTATCGGACATCAAAGCTGCTAAAAGGCAACAGCATTATGACTCTAGTCTCCCAGGCTAGAGTGCAGTGGCCTGACCATAGCTCACTGGAACCTCCATCTCCTGGGTTCAAGTGATCCTCCCATCTCAGCCTCCTGAGTAGCTAGGATTAATTAGCCCAGCTAATTAAAAGTAAAAATAAAAAATTATAGAACATAGTATCTCTCTGTTGCCCAGGTTGGTCTTGAACTCCTAGTCTTAAGCAATCCTCTCATCTCAGCCATCCAAAGTGCTGAGATTACGGGCTTGAAACAGCATGCCCAGTCCCTGGAAACATTTTCATGACAAAAATATAATTGCAAAAATGTGAGAAAATAATATTTTTATAACGGTTGTTGTGCTAATTAGTTATTCAAAATGGAAAAATGAAGAAACTTGATTACTTTCCACTTTGTGCAGATGGTGGTGGCGGCCTGTCTGGAGCAGCTGTTGTGGGGACATCATCTACAGCCGAGGAGGCGTGGGGTGCGTGCTTCACAGAGCAAGCAGGGACCGGGAACAGGTGGCACCGCTGCCCTCCACCAAGTTGGAGGGGCAGGAAGCCCGCACTTCCGGGTGCAGCTGCAGCCGCCCAGCCATGGTTCTGGACCCGAGCATCTCTGTACTCTCGGAGGCCCAGGAAACCCCCTGTCCCTGCAGGGTCGAAAGTGTCTGCGATCACTCCCAGTGCCCGCACAGGGACAGAGCAAAATTGTGGCTGAGCCCAGGCGCTTTCGCAACACGGCTGGGTGTGCACGTGCTCAGGGCAGTGCTGACACGATGGCCCCCTGCAACCTCAGCCCCCTCTGGACTTTAGGTGCCAATGAGCATGGGAAGGAGGTCGAGGCGGGGCTAAGGGTGGCTCCAGGTGGACCTGCAGGCGCCCCTTAGCATGAAAAACAGGGGCACCGTGGATGGCATGTTGACGGCAGGAGGAAGACAACAGGTTCCTGGGCTCAAAGGCTTGGGTTCCCATTCAAACCCCACCTTCAAGCCAGGGATGGCCTGAAGCCTGGGGGCCAGGCTGCCAGTTCCTGGTGGAGTCCACAGTGCGGAGTGAGAACTGACGGTGCTTTTTCCCAGCTCGCAGATGACTGCCCATAGACCAATCAGCATGAACTTCTTCCTTTATGAGTCCATAAAAACCCTGGACTCTGCCAAATTCTAACAGGCGTTGGGATGACCTGCCTGCAGAAAGGAGTTCTACCCTGCGCAGTCTCCTCTCTGCTGAGAGCTGGACACTCATCACTGTCACCTGGCTGCGGAAAGGAGCTACCCACTTCAGGTCTCCTGAGAGCTGTTCTGTCACTCCATAAAGCTACTCTCTCCTCCTTGCTCACCCTCCAGTTGTCACCTTATTCTTCCTGAACTTGGGATAAGAACTCCAGACTTGCCGAATGGTGGTACTGAAAGAGCAGTAACACAAACAGGGCTGAAACATGCCCTTCTTTGGGGCTCTGTGGTTCCTGGAGTCTCCAAGCTTCTGGTTGCCACTGCGTTCCCCTCATTCAGATGCAGGTGCCCGCAGCAAAAGCCACGTGCAGTACATCTGGTCCAGCCGCACCCTCACACAGAACACACAGTTGTGCTGGCGCCTGGAGCTGCCCGCCCTGTGTGCCTGGCTGTGTGCAGCGGCCGGACCCTGTGCTCGCTCACCCATACACCCCTCACCACTCTGCTCCTGGCTTACCGTTGGCAAGTATGGGATCCGGGCCAGTAGCGTGAGGTGAGCACAGCCTGCCAGGCGAGTGGGCAGAATGGGTCCAACGGGCACAAGCAATACTCAGGCAGAAGGTGCCGCCGGCCACAGAGGTTTCCGGCTAGTGATGTGACACCCCAAGGATCCCATGACAGTGCCATACACACATACCCATTTCCCCAATCAATTAGGTGGATTGTACGTCTGAAATAATAAAGTTTATATTTATTATTACAATAATAAATGTCTATGACCTTGAGGTAAGTAATGTCTGTGAGTTAAACATGGGCTAAACAATGTCTATGACCTTGAGGTAAGTAAAGCTTTCTTTCCGACAGGACCCAGAAAGTATCAACCGTAAGAAAAAAAAATCTCTAAATTGGAATTTATTGCATTTGACAACGTCTATTCATTCAAAGAGTCTATTAAGGGAGTGAAAATACAAATCACAGAGTGAAAAAAAAGGTTTGTAATAAATATAACTAAGAAAAGGGCTCCATTTCAGAATATATAAACAGCTTCTACAAATTAATAAAGACAGAAAATCTATTTTCAACAGTGGGCTAGAGATTTGAACATCTCTTCATTAGAGGCCCACAGTAGGTACTTGCAATGATTAATTTTATGTTTCAATTTGACAGGGCTAAGGGATGCTCAGCTAGTAAGGCATTATTGCTGGGTGTGTCTGTGGGAATGTTTCTGGATGAGATTAGCATTTAGATCAGTAGGCTGAGTAAAGAAGATTGTCCTCACTGATGTGGATGGGCATCATTTTATCCATTGGGGACCTCAATAGAACAAAAAGGTAAAGGAAGGATGTGTTTGCTCCCTGTTTGAGCTATGTTATCCCTCTCCTCCTGTGTTCAGACCTCAGTGCACCTGGTTCCCAGGCTTTCAGTCTCAGACTGAATTACACTACCAGCTTTCCTGGTTCTCCAGTTTACAGATGGCAGATCTTGGGATTTCTAGACTTCCATAATCATGTGAGTCAATTCCTTTAATAAATTTCTCTCTGTTTCTCTCTCTTTCATATATATATATATATCACTACCTACACACACAGACATCACATCACAACACACACATTCCCAATTCACTCTTTTTCTGTAAAATCCTGACTAATACAGCACTATATAAACATTTCTTGAATTTATATAGAAAAAAATGTAGTTAACGGATAAGGAAATAAAGACAGGGACTTTCAGGAATCTCAATAACCCAGCTCTTAAGTGGCTGTCTCTCTGAGACACACAGGCACTGTTCCATATTATCCAGGAAATAATTTTGTGCCAGAACACTTTTCTTGCCAATTGCTTCTGCATAATGTGAACTCTGCCTTAGCACCCTGGTCACGCACTCTCTGCAAGGCATAGGTGCAGGGAAACTAACATGAAATTTGAGTCTAAGATCTACTACTTTAATAGACATCATTTTTCTTTTGTTTAAACACACCATTTCTCTGATGGATAGAACTTTAAATGATTTCCACTTATAGGAGAGATCCCAATGTCTGCTTCACAGGAAGTGGAATTAGTCTTATCATGCACCCCAGGTGAACCATATGGGCCCAAACTTCATTGGCTGCCATCAGCTCATTACCCATGCTACAGCAGATGTGAAGCAGCAAATTATTAGGCCGTAGGGTGATGTCTAGAGTCAGTCATATTGTTCCGTTTTTCTACCTTTACTTTATCAAAGACCTGAGGAAAAAAAGAGTCATAAAGATTGTCTCCTTTGAACATAGGTATCTTTATATATATATCAGTAGCTCCTGGGGATATGATTATTAAGGATGGTGACTCAACTACAGGAGAAGGGTTTGACAAGTTCATCTCCAGGTTTCCTTCCATTGTTACCAGTACATGTTCTTAGTAAGAATTTAAGTCACAAAATTTCAGATATGTGCTTTTGTGTTGCCCTTCATATGAGAATGTAGATACAATTGCAATGACTCTAGAAATATTTGCAAACCAAATTACCTTTATCCCCCAAAATTTGCTCATGGATTCAGCCCTGTTATTTACATAACTCAATTAGAGGGAAAATACAAAACTTCCCATCTAACAGCAGCAGAATATTCATTTTTCTTTAGTGCATATGAAACATTCTCCAGCAGAGACCAAATGTTAAGACCCAAAATGAGTCTTTAAAAATTTAAGACGATGGACATCATATCTAGAACTATTTCTCATCACAATGGTATGAAACTAGATATCAATAACAAATGGAGTATTGAAAAATTTACAAAGATGTAAAAATTAATCTACCTGCTTCTGAACAACAACAAATGAATCAAAGGAGAAATCATAGGTAAAATTTAAAATGTCTTGAGACAAATGACAAAGAAACACAATATATCAAAACGTATGGGATACAGTAACAGCAGTTCTAAAAGGAAAGTTTATAGTGAGAAATGCCTACTTAAAAATAAAAAAAAATATTTCACACAAGTAGCCTAATATGATGCATTAAGGAACTAGAAAGAGAGAAACAAACTAAACCCAAAGTTAGCAGAATAAAGAAAAAAAATACAAATGAGAACAGAAATAGAAAATAGAAAAAACACAAAAATTAATAAAAAGAGTTGATTTTTAAAAAAATACTTAAGATTTACAAACTCTTAGCTAGACTAAGAAAAAAAATGAGTGACTAGAAAAAATAAAATCAAAAATTAAACTGAAGATATTACAACAGATGAATTAGAAATAAAAATGATTTTAAGAGACTTATGAAAAAATACTATATATGCCAAAAACTAAGTAACCTACAGGAAACAGATACATTCTGAATAAAATATAACCTACCATGATTGAATCAGGAAAATGGAAAGCTTGAATAGATCAGTAGCAAATAGAGATTAAAGAAGTAATAAAACAACTAAAAAAGAAAGCCAAGAATCAGATGTCTTCATGGCTGAATTCTACAAAGAAGAATTAATACCAATACTCCTTAAACTCATCTAAAAAATAGAGCTAGAGAGATTATTTCTAAACACATTTTATAAGGTCAGCATCACCTTGATACCTAAACCAGATAAAGACATCACAAGAACAGAAAACTATAGGACAATTTATCTGATCCACATTGATGCA
The DNA here is from genome assembly GCF_000001405.40 of Homo sapiens. Taxonomy (NCBI): domain Eukaryota; kingdom Metazoa; phylum Chordata; class Mammalia; order Primates; family Hominidae; genus Homo; species Homo sapiens. The sequence continues at coordinate 61,577,621 of NC_000016.10, read as the reverse complement.
AATATCCTCAATAGAATATTAGGAAACAGAATCCAACAGCACATCAAAAAGATTATACATCATGACCATGTAGGATTTATCCTTGGCATATAAGCCTGGCTTAACATATGCAAATCAATTAATTTGATATATCACATTAACATAATGAAAGATAAAAATCATGTGATTATCTCAATTGACACATAAAATGATTTGACAAAGTTTAACATTGCATTCTTATTAAAAGTTTGAACAATTTACATATAGAAGGGAAGTTCTTCAACACGATAAAGGCAATTAAGAAAAACTCACACCTAATATTATAAGCAATGAGGAAAAACTGAAAACTCTTCTAATATAATACAGTATGAGACAAAGATGCCTACTCTCACTTCTAGTCACCATAGAACTGAAAGTATTAGCAAGGTCAGACAAAACAAGGCTTCCAAGTCTGAATAAAATTAGTAAAATTTTCCATATTTGTAGATGATATGATTTAATATTTAGAAAACCTCAAACATTTCACAAAAAAATCCATGTCAGAACTGATAAATTCAGTAAGTTGCAGAATACAAAGTCAATATACAGAAATCAGTAACTGAGATGCTGCCAGGAAGAGATTCTTTTATCCAGAGGCCAGACCACAAAGAAGACCAGCACACTCCAAACAGATCCTTAGAAGGAAGGCATTGAGTGTTGATGAATGGAGGCCACGGACCCTGGGCTGAAGGAAGAGGAATCCAGGAATGCAGCATGGAGTTGCTGAACTCCAGGAAGCTCCTAGGAAGGCATGAATTAAATAGGCATGCAATGGCTCACTCTTGCCAAGGACTTTCAGAATCCTAGCTGCAGGAGGCCTCACAACTCCCATGGACCTTTGAGCTGGCATGGCGAGCTGTTTGGAGAGTTGGCAGGGACAGGCCTCCAGCCTATGCAGAGTCCAGAAGTCGTGGCATGGAAACAGCTGCAGTGGAACGTGGCCAGGGACACCCATCCCTCATGGATTGCCATGCTCCTCTACCTGGCTTTGGCCTTTGTTGACTGTTGGACTTGGGAAGAACATGGCTATCGTGCCTGTGGGACGGGGCCAGTCTGATCTGAGTTCCCCACTGTCTGCTGGTTGCTCCCAGGGTCCCTTCCCAGTCACACCTACTTGCAGAACAGCCTAAGATGTCCATTTTGGGCACTTTCCTGCTGTCACTGCCATAGCTTCTTCACTAGCATACCATGTCTAACCTTCAGAGAACTTCTGCAGATGGGTCCCCACTGGCACACACCTGCCTGCAGTGACTTCCCAGTGCTTTGCTGGTGTGCACCTGCCCACAGCCTACCCACAATGTTTTGACAGCATACATGTGCATGTGGACTCCACTGCACAACTGACAATGGTGCACACACACACACACACACAAACCGCATTGCCTCACTACTCCCAGAACACATGTGTGAGGATAGCACCATACGGCCACCCTGCCACCACCAGTGCACCCATACACAAAAACCATATTGTGCTGCCACTGTCCCAACAAAGCACTATTGCCAGCACTCCACATTGAAGTGCTGTTCCACAGCAGTCCAGGCCCACCTCAGCTTCTCTAGAAGAGCAGATGTTTAAACTATTGGGACCAGAGAACAATGGTGTGAGCCTATTCCCAGTACCCCAGGGTTAGAGCAAGCAACCCAAGAGTGGTGGGCTGAGCCTTGGCTCCCTGAAATCATGCAGTTGACTGAACCCAACTCATAACACAATTACACCTAAAGAGCTTCAAAGAATATAAAAGCAAAGAGCCCCATCCAAAGGAGAGCAACTTCAAATATTAAAGTGACGTCAGCCCACACAGAGAAAAAAGAACAAACACAAGATCTCTGGTAACTGAAAAAGCCGGAGTGCCTTCTTACTTCCAAATAGCTTCATTAGCTCCACAGCAACGGTTCTTAATCAGCCCAGAATGGCTGGAATGACAGACATAGAATTTAGAATCTGGATGTCAATGAGGATGATCAAGATTCAGGAGAAAGTTAAAGCACATAGAAGGAACTGAGGAATCCAGTGAAACTATACAAGAGCTGAAGGATGACATAGCCATTTTAAGAAAGAACCAGACTGATATAATAGAGCTGAAAAGCTCCCTACAATAATTTAATAATACTTTCAGAAGTATTAACAGCAGAATAGACAAAGCTGATGAGAGAACCTCAGAGCTTAAAGACAAGTTCTTCAAATTAACTGAGTCAGACAAAAAGAAAGAAAAAATAATAAAAATCAGGGAAAAAAAGAAACATGGCATAATGTAAAGAGATCAAACCTACGACTCCTTGGCATCTCTGAAGTGGAGGTGAGAGAGCAAGCAACTTGAAAAGCATATTTGAGGACATTGTCAATGAAAAATTTCCCAACCTTACTGGAGAGGCTGACATTCAAATTCAGGGAATTCAGAGAAGCCCTGAAAGACAGTATACAAGAAGACCATCCTCAAAACACGTAATCATCAGATTCTCCAAGGACAATGAGAAAGAAAAAAAATATTAAAGTCAGCTAGAGAGAAGGTGCAGGTCACCTACAAAGGGAATCCCATCAGGCCAACAGCAAACCTTTCAGCAGAAACTCTGTAGCCAGGAGAGATCGACGGCATATATTCAGCATCCTTAAAGCGAATAAATTCCAAGAGATAATTTCATATTCAGGCAAACCAAGCTTCTTAAGCAAGGAGATAAAATGCTTTTCAGACATGCAAATGCTAAGGGAATTTGTTACCACCAGACCTGCCTTACAAGAGGCCCTTAAGGGAATGCTAAATACGGAAACAACAGTTACTGGCCGCCACAAAAACACACTTATATACATAGACCATTGACACTATAAAGTGAGTATACAATCAAATCTACATCACAACCAGCTAACAACACAATGACAATATCAAATACACACATATCAATATTAACTTTTAAAGTAAACAGGTTAAATGTCCCACTTAAACAGCACAGAGTGGCAAGTTGAATAAAGAAACAAGATCCAACTGTGTGCTATCTTCAAGAGACTCATCTCAATGCAACGACACCCATAGATTTAAAGAAAAGAGATGGAGAAAAATCTACCAAGCAAACAAAAAACAAAAAAGGGCAGTGGTTGATCTTCCTATTTCAGACAAAACAGACTTTGAAGCAGTAAGAATCATGAACGACAGAGAAGGGCATTACATAATGATAAAGGGTTCAATTCAACAAGACTTAACTATCAGAAATATATATGCACCCAACACTGAAACACCCAGATTCATAAAACAAGTTCTTAAAGAATTATGAAGACACATAGATAACCACACAATAATAGTGAGAGACATCAGCATCCCTCTGGCAGCACTAGACAGACCATTGAGGCAGAAAACTAACAAAAATATTTGGCACTTAAACTCTATACTGAACCAAATGTACCTAACAGACTTCTAGGGGGCACTTCACCCAACAACAACAGAATATACATTATCTTCATCTACACATAGCATATAACTTGAAATAGAACACATGCTCTGCCATAAAGCAATTCTTGACAAATAAAAAAAAAACATACCAACCACACTCTCAGACCGCAGGGTAATTAAAATAGAAATCAACTCCAAAAATATCTCTCAAAAGCATACAATTATGTGGAAATTAAACTATCTGTTCCTGAAAGACTTTTGGGTAAACAATGAAATTAAAGCAGAAATCAAGAAATTCTTTGAAACAAATGAAAATGAAGATACAAGATTCCAGAATCTCTGGGATATGGCTAAAGTCATGTTAACAGGGAAGTTTATAGTGCTAAATGCCCACATCAAAAAGTCAGAAATATCTCAAATTAACAACCTATCATCACATCTAGAAGAACTAGAAAAAGAAGAGCAAACCAACCCCAAAACTAGCAGGAGAAAAGAAATAACCAAAAACAGAGCTGAATGGAATAAAATTGAGACATGAAGAGCCATACAAAAGATCAACAAAATGAAAAGTTAGTTTTTTTGAAGGAATAAACAAGATTGATAGACCACTAGGTAGACTAATTAAGGAAGAGAGAAGATTATAATAAAAAGAATAAGAAATAACAAAAGGGACATTATCACTGACCCCACAGAAATATAGATTGAAAAAATATATATATCTATGAATAAACCCTCAGAGGCTATTATGTGCACCCTTACACAAAGAAATTAGAAAATCTAGGAGAAATAGAAACTTGCCAAGATTGAACTAGGAAGAAGTTAAAACCCTGAACAGACGAATAACGAGTTACAAATTGGATCAACAATAAAAAGCCTACCAACCCACAAAAGGCCTGGGTCAGATGTAGTCACACTCAAATTCTTACTAGCCACATAAAATAGAGCTGGAACCAATACAAATAAATGATTCCAAAGAAATTCAGAAGGAAGAACTCCTCCCTATTCATTCTATAAGGCCTGCACCATCCTGATTTTAAAATCGGGCAGAGATCAAGTTAAAAAAGAAAACTTCAGGCCAATATCCCTGATGAGCATACATACAAAAATCTTCGACAAAATACTACCATACTAAATCCAGCAGTGCATTGAAAATATAATCCACCATGATTAAGTAGGCTTCATTCTTGGGATGCAAGGTTGTTTCAACATGTGCAAATCAATCATTGTGATTCATCACACAAACAGAACTAAAAGCAAAAACCAGATGATCATCTCAATAGATGCAGAAAAGGCTTTCTATAGAATTCAACATCTCTTTACGTGAAAACCCTCAACAAGCTACACATTGAAGGAACATTCTGCAAAATAATGAGCCATCTCTGACAAACACACAGCCACGTCATACTGAAAAGGCAAAAGCTGGAAGCATTTTCCTTGAAAATTGAACAAGGCAAGGATGTCCACTCCCACCATTCCTATTTAATGTAGTACTGAAACTCATAGCCAGAGGAAACGGGCAAGAGGAGTAAATAAAAAGCATCCAAATAAGAATAAAGTCAAAATATGTCTCCTCATAGATGATATGATTCTATACTTGGAATACTCCATATGCTCTCCCCGAAGGCTCCTAGATAAGAAGAACAATGTCAGTAAAGTTTCAGGATTCAAAATCAATGTTCAAAAATCAGTTGCATTTCTATACACCAATAATGTTGAAGGAGAGAGACAAATCATGGATGCAACCCCATTCACAATAGTCACGAAAAGAATAAAATACCTAGGAATACAGCTAACAAGGGAGGTGAAAGACTTCAACAAGAATCACAAAAAAAAAAAACCCTGCAGAACAAAATCGTAGATGTCACAAACAAATGGAAAAATATTCCATGCTCACAGATAGGAAGAATGAATATTGTTAAAATGGTCATACAGCATCTGATCTTTGAGAACGTTGATAAAAACAAGCAATGGAAAAAGGACTTCCTTTTCAACAAATGGTGCTGGGATAACTGGCTGGCCATATGCTGAAGATTGAAACTGGACCATTTCCTTTCACCATACACACAAATCAACGCATGATGCATTAAAGATTTCAATATAATAGCTAAGTCTATTAAAACCCTAGATAAACACCTAGGAAATATCATTCTGGACATCGACTCTTGCAAAGATTTCATGATGAAGACTCCAAAAGTGATTGCAAGAAAAACAAAAATTAACAAGTGAAACTAATATAGGTTGCCTAATTGTCCTCATCCAAATCTCATGTTGAATTGTAATCTGCAGTGTTGGAGGTGGGGCCACGTGAGAGGTGATGTATGAAAAGGTGCTCAACATCGTGAATCATCAGGGAAATGAAAATCAAAACCACTATGAAATAACTCCTCACAGCAGCTAGGATGGCTGTTATCAAAAAGACAAGGGATAACAAATGTTGGCAAGAGCGTACAGAAAAGGGAACTCTTGTACACTGTTGGTGGAAATGTAGAATGGTGTAGCCACTGTGAAAAACAATGTAGAGATTCCTCTAAAAATTAAAGCATAGGACTACTGTATGATGTAGCAGTCCATCTCCTGGGCATATACCCAAAGGAAAAAACATCATCACCTCATAAAGAAAGCTGCACTTCCATGTTCCACTATCATAAAGCACTTCCATGTTCACTGAAGCACTATTTATAATAGCTAAGATATGGAGAAAACCTAAGTATCCATCCCTGGATAAATGGATTAAATATTGTGGTTATATATACACAATGGAATACTATTCAGCCATCAAAAGAAGATCTTGCCACTTGTCACAACATGAGTGAAACTGAAGGACATTATGCTAAGTGAAATAAACCAGACACAGAAAGAAAAACAGTGCATGGCCTCACATATATTTAAAATAAAAAAAGAAAGAAAATTCAAATATATAGTTATAGAGAAGAAAACCATGGTTATTAGCAGTGGGGAGAGGGAGGAAATGGGAAGATACAGGTTAGAGTTTACAAAGTAGCATACGCAGAGGATGAACATTCTAGAGATGTACAGCAAAAGGACGATAGTTAATAAAATTCTACTATTTTTGGATTCTTGCTAAATGAGTAGATTTTAACTGCTCTTACGACAAAAACAAAACAAAACAAAAAAATAAGGAACAATGTGAGATGGTGGGTGCATTAATTTGCTTCACTATACTAACCATTTTAATACCTATGTGTATCTCGTAACTAGATGTTATATACCTTAAATATACACAATACAATTTATTTATTAAGCAAATATAGGAAATTATGTTCTCTTACATAGTATGACATTACTTTGCATATTTTATGTAAATTTATTAAGTAAAAATTTATATAAGGCACTTCATAAGTTTTTTTCCTAGAAACATGTCTTTGGGAGTATAATATGTAACTTACAAGTCTCACCTTCAAAATATACGCTAAAGATTCTAAAAAGATTATAAGTGTCCCCTTATGTGAGAACTATTATAGGGTGAGTGGTATAGTAGATGGTTAGGGAAATGACAGAAAGCTGGAGAGGTTGGGCACAATTTGAGACCAGTCATTACAAGTGGGATAGATGGGATTTTTGTCCACAATTCTTCATCCTTCCCTGCACCCATGTTCTTTGCCACATAATATTTTCTCTCCCTCTGAAACTGAAATGTAATTTCCTGTCGACTTTGCACTTGGCTGTGTGACTTGTTTTTGCTAGTCAACTATTAGCAGACATAACACAGGAGGGGCTTGGAGAGTGGTTGTGCACCATGGGACTTTGGCCTTTTGGCTTCTATGATTCCATAAGAAGAGTTTTCCTAGGTTAGTTTCTGTCCCTTCAGTCTGGGGCAGAGAAAGAGCCACACAAAGACCTAGAACCAATGGCTGGGCTCAGACTACATAAAGTGTCCCTGCCACAATCAGAGCTTCTTTACAGTGTGGGATCATTTTAAGCGACTGAGTTTGAGATGTGTTTTTGTTTTTGTTTTTGTTTGAACCAGAGTTTCGCTCTTGTTGCCCAGGCTGGAGTGCAGTGGCACAATCTCAGCTCACTGCAACCTCTGCCTGCCAGGTGCAAGTGATTCTCCTGCCTCAGCCTCCCGAGTATCTGGGATTACAGGCACGAGCCACCACACCCTGCTAACTTTTGTATCTTTAGTAGAGACGAGGTTTCACCATTTTGGCCCAGGCTGGTCTGGAACTCCTGATCTCAGGTGATCTGCCTGCCTCGGCCTCCCAAAGTGCTCGGATTACAGGTGTGAGCCACCATGCCCAAAGAGAATGTGTTTGTTTTTGTTGTTGTCGTTGTTGTTTCTGGCAGCAATATTGTGGCATTAGCTTACTGACACAATAATTGATTTGGTACAACTTTTTCGAGTTTGGAGAAGAATAAGTTCTTATATGTTTACCATAAAGCATTAAGTCAATAATCTATAATCCACGATTTTTCCTGGCCATAGGCAAATGACTATGGCATTAATTGATTTATGGATTAAAAAACAAAACAAAGGACCAGATATTTTAGCTAAGACCACAATTATGATGGGACAGTGGCCAGATTAAAAGCCAATTAGTCTGACTACAGGTTATTCCAATTTCTTATTTCATTATGATGCTTCTTTTTTTTTTTTTCAGAAATGAAGGTTAAGGAAACAGAAGAAAATGCAATGATCATATAGTCTATTTATTCCATAAATGCTTGAATATCTGCCATTTTTCAGGAGATTTACTACCAAAGATTTAAAGATTAACTTTATTTTTGTTTTTTCCACTCCCTGTGCTTCTGTTAGTGAAAAAAGCCCATGAAGAATTGAGTTAGAAAATAAGAATTGGAGAGGAATGCAGTAAGAAAACAGCAAAAACAAAACACAGTAGCCAGTTAATCCATTAATTGAAACAATCAAGGCTTAATTGAATGCACATGTGTAGACTGAGATGGCTCCCTAATAGTGAGGCAGTACGCAATGATTAATTACTGGAAGAAATCAGCAAAGAATTCTTCCTGAGCTCTGAATTGTGCTCTGAATACAAAAATCTGCTGGAACAGGTGACATGTTGCCAAGGGTTCCAACAAGCAGACAGAAGAAATTGCAGATCTGCCAACTATTTATTTCCAAAGACAGAGAAAGATGGTGACGTAGCAATGTCACAAAGTAATGCACAAAACTTTTTGTTTTTCCTTCTTTCTGAAGAATGGTAATCCAGACTACAGTTTTATTATCTGAGTGACAGGGAAAGACAAAATGCAGTAATTAAGAAACCCAAAGACTGTCATGAAAGACAATCTGAAGCTGGAAGTTGAGCAATTATTTAAAGTGCTCAAAAAGCTCGGCTCAAAACTTCATTGTTTTAGGTATTTTGGGGGGAAACGAAGAGTTATCTCAGGAAGGGGGAAATATGTATAGAAAAGTAAACATGAAAACATAAGAATATTTATTCAGTAGTTCATCAAATATATATCAAAACTCTACAATGCCCCCAGATACATATTCTGTACAAGAAGAAATACGAAGATGCTGTTCATGACTCCATCCCCATAAGCTAGAACAGAGTCTATTACACAGAAAGTGCTTAAAAAATAAGTAATCAATGCATGAATAAGTGAGTGACACTTACCTCATGGAGCTTACAAGGGAGTAAGACAGATATTTGCCACTTTTCTGGACTTTTTTGTGATTTGTGTAATTATAAATGGGAGGTGCATGTATGTAGTTATAAGATGATATAAAGCACAGTTATCCTCACACTTGTCCTCATATCAGTATCACCTGAAAAGCTTTGTAATAATGCTCAGACCTGCCTCTCTACCCTATGTGCCTGATTTAAATTGTCTAGGTTGGGGAATGGGCATTGGTATTTGAGAATTTTAATGTTTAGCTAGGGTTGAAAAACAATACTATACAAAGAAAGAATTAACTTGGAGTAGAAGATCTGAAGGAAGAGGAGAGGTTAACCAAGACAACTGTAAACATGGGTGTAGCATCCCAGGACCGGGAGAAGCATGTTCAGCAACCCTGTGGCTAGAGGAAACATGGCACTAGTCACTCACTGACAGGGCAGCATGGCTAGTGCACTGAGAAAAGCAGCAGGGGATGAAACTGATGAGATAGGCAAGGCCAGAACACACGTACCTTTAAGTCTTTGTCTTTAAAACCTTTAATGGCTGCTTAGTGTTCCTAGGATAATAATGGTTAGAAAGTTGATGGGAGTGATTTTGTCTTTAGAATCATCACTTTTATGGAAGGTTTTTTAAAAATGGGAGAGACAAAATTTATGGAGAGGATAGTTAGGAGACCATTCCAATCTACTTCACAAGAGCTAATAGCAGTCTGGATTAGGCAGAAAATAGCGAGCGGTACTGTCTGCTCTTAGCCCCAGGCAACAGGTGTTTCTCTGAGTTCCAGGATTAAGACGGTTGCACTCAGGCCCTCTTACAACTTTGCTCTTTCCTACAGAGCTTTAAGCCTTCTTCGAGGACCTGTGCAGACCCCTTTCCCCAGATGACCTTCCAAGGGAGGCCTGCACCTTCAATCCAAAGGCTTACTACGGGGCTAGTTTAGTGGTAGAGGGGTAGATAATGCATTGTAAGGTGGGGTGTTTACATATATGCACATGAGGCTCAGATATTTTAGCTAAGACCACAGTGCTGGTTAGATTTTAGTGCAGCAAGAGAATTAGGTTAGGCTAGGAGTCAGGTTCAGGCTTGTGACCAGTATATGTTCAATGTGCAATTTTGCTAGAGGCCTTTGCATATATTAAGGGTAGGTCTAGCAGTAAGGAGAGAAAAAAAATAACAGACAAGTGCAGGCATGCTCTTGAAATGAATAGGTGGAAAAGGCAATAATATACTGTCAGATTCATCTGAAATAATCATATTTTTAAAGAAAAAATTCAATATATGTGATATTCCTAAGTAATTTCTTATTTATTTATTTTCCAATCATTGCCATAACAATTCATTAAGGTGGTCAAAACAGGTATAATTTCTCCCATTTGCAAACATAGAAATTGATATTTACATGGGGGAGGTTGGCAAACTTTTTTCTGTTAAAGGCATGTGTGATGGTTAATATTAAGTGTCAACTTGATTGGATTGAAGGATGCAAAGTATTGTTTCTGGGTGTATGTGGGTGTTTCTGAGTGTTGCCAAGAAGAGATTAACATTTGAGTCAGTGGACTGGGAAAGGAAGACCTATCCTCAAAAAGACCCACCCACAATGTGGGAGGGCACCATCCAATTGGCTGCCAGCGTGGCTAGAAAAAGCAGGTGGAAGAAGGTGGAAGAAGCTGACTTGTTAAGTCTTCTGGCCTTCATCTGCTTCCTGCCCTTGAACATCAGAATCCAAGTTCTTTAGCTTTTGGAACTTACACCAGTAGTTTACCAGGGGCTCTCGGGCCTTTGGCCACAGACTGAAGTCTGTATTGTCAGCTTCCCTATTTTCTGAGGCTTTGAGGCTCAGACTGAGCCACTACTGGCTTCCTTGCTTCTCAACTTGCAGATAGCCTATCGTGGAATAAATAAACTTCGCCTTGTGACTGTGTGAGTCAATTCTTCTTAATAAACTCCCTTTCATGTATACATATATCCTATTAGTTCTGTCCCCCTAGAGAACCCTGACTAATATTTTTGGCTTTGTAGGCTATATTCTATCATCTCTGCTATTGTAGCTACTACTTGCTGACATCGTAGCTCAAAAGCAGCCACAGACAATATGTAAAAGAATAGGTGTGGCTGTGTTGCAACAAAGTTTTATTTATAAAAAGAGGTAGGCAGCCAGATTTGATTCATGGGTAGTAGTTTGCTGATTCCTGTTGGAGGCTGTTGTTAGCTAACTCCAAGTAAACAGAGAAAGTGGTGCTGGAAGTCGAATCCTTTTGTTTCTGATTCTGTACTGGCCACTTCAAAATGCTTAAAGGATAGCCACAGAATGCTAGTTTTCAAGAAACACAGAGATCACTTTGTCTGAACTCATTCTACAGATGAGAAAACTGAGGATCGAGGTTAGGTGAAAAGTCCAAGACTGCAGGACTCTTTAGAGCCAGAACTGTGACTAGAATTTCAAATTCTAGTCTTGCCCTATTAACTATCTTGTTCTCTTAACTGTCCACCTCTGCCAAAGTCAATCACCTCCACAAACTGAACTGGGCCAAATCTAGACTTCCTGTTGTATTCTCTTTCTATGCTCTTTCCTTAGAGGAGGGTGAGCCCGAACCAAAAGAAAATTACAGCAAAATAGCAACAGAGTGGGCAAAGTTCAGAAGGGCTTTTGTGGGAGCCTTCAGGTTTCCAAACTGAAGTGTTCTAGTTCTGGATTTTTTTTTTTCTGAAACAGAGTCTCGCTTTGTCACCAGGCTGGAGTGGCATTATCTCACCTCATTGCAACCTCCACTTCCTGGGTTCAACCAATTCTCCTGCCTCAGCCTTCTGAGTAGCTGGGGTTACAGGTGTGCACCACCACACCCAGCTGATTATTGTATTTTTAGTAGAGACAGGGTTTCACCATGTTGGCAAGGATGATCTCGATCTCTTGACCTCGTGATCCACCCACCTTGGCATCTCAAAGTGCTGAGATTACAGGGGTGAGCCACCACGCCCAGCCTGGAATTCTTAATTCTGCTCTTTCTCTTTTTTTTCTAAACTAAGTCACTCAGCATCTTAGCTCAGATTTCTGATTTCATTTTATACCCGCATTTGACACTGACTTATGTTATCTTGGGCTGTAGCTGGATTTGTTGATACTACTGTTATGTTTGTGAGTGTGATCATTAAATGAGCCCTAGAGACGCATAGCGTCCTTGAAGCTGTTAACCACTCGATCCAATCTTAGGGCAGTGTCACATTCCAGAAAACCCAGTCAAGAAGCCAAAAATAATTTCAAATTAGCACAAGGGTTTTACTTCTATTTATTGAGCATGATGTAGCACCTCTTCTTTGAAAAATCACAATTTTCTCTGAATCACTTTCCTCCCTCACCATGGCAGCACATGTTTCTATACACCTTATCCAGCCTTCATACTCCTTCCCTTCCTCCATCTTCTCCAGATTTTCTATCAAGAATATCCATATGGCACAGCTGGCAAAATACAGAAAGTGGGGTTGGAGATAAGCAGTGCAGATGGGTAAAGCCAAAACCTTTTTCATGGTAAAGAGAAGAGAAAGAACAGAATCACTTATATCTGAATAATATTTAGAGCCAGAACTGTGACTAGAATTTCAAATTCTAGTCTTGCCCTCTTAACTGTCTTGTTCTCTTAACGGCCCACATCTGCCAAAGTCAATCACTTCCACAAACTGAACTGGGCCAAGTCTAGACTTCCTGTTGTATTTTCTTTCTATGCTGTTTCCTTAGAGGAGGGTGACACACTTCAAAAAAATATCCTCTGACTAAGAATCCATCAACATACATAGTCAAATCAGTGAAGGTACTCAAGGCCTCTTTCAGAGACAAAGTGTCTGCTGGCTGACATATAGTCCTTCATAATAAAACGTGAGCATGTCAGACACAGCTGATAGCCTTCCTTAACTCTTGTTATAGCTGGAAAACAATTCAGAAGGCATAGTTTATTTAGGGTTTGGTAAACCATTCAGAAAAGTTCTGTAAGGAAATTTAACAGAGAAATTAGAAGGATTCTGTCTGATTGAAACTACTATCGTCCGTCTACATAAAACTGACTGACAGACAATAAAAAAGGTAATTACCATCAGTACAACACCAAATGGGGGATAAGATGAAAGGATTAGATTAGAACAGCCACCTGTGAAGGCAGAATTTGGAATTTAAAGTGCACTTGTAGCCAAATAAGTAACCATTTAAGATGACAATTTTATAGTACAGCACTTTTTATGTCCTTCACTGGTATTAGGAAGTGAAATACAATAAAATACCAAGATTTATTCAAGTTCAAGGTTTATCTTAAGGATAAAAAGAAGAAAAAATGGTAAAACAATGACTACAAAAAATGTGCAAGAATGTATTCAGCGATAACAAGGAATGAACTATGATTCCAGGCAGAGACATGGATTGACTATTTAATGCACAATAATAAGTGCAAAAAGCAAGTCTGAAAAGTACGCACTGTGTGGTAGCATTCATATGGTATTCTGAGAGATGCAAAACCATGGAGAAGGTAAACTGATCAGTGGCTGCCAAGAGATTAAGAAGGAGGAAGGGTTACAGAGTACAAGCATAGAGGACTTTTTTTTTTTTTAGAATGGTGAAACTATTTGGTATGATGCTGTAATAGAGATACAGAACACTATATTTGTAAAAATTCATAGAAGTGTATGGTAAAAGAGTAAGTCCCAATACTTGCAAATTAAAACGGACATTTTTTAGGAGGGTGGGAGATCTCAGGATAAAATGCTGAATATGACAAAGGAATTAAACTTCAATAGATGTGTAGGGAACAGCCATGTTGAAAGGGTGCAGGAAAGGACAGAGACCAAAATGACTTTGGAGGTAAATGGAGTCTGTAGGATTAAAGGCAAAACGGATCTGCACATAAGCACTTTACGCTAATGGACAAAGAGTTATTTTGCTATCTACTCATGGTGGTATGAGTTCATGCTTCTGAAACTACTATACATGTATACTAGAATTAAACAATTAAGTAAATGAATGGTGGATGGTGGGAGCCAGGTTTGCAAGTGTTGGAGTGGGAACATAAACATAAACAAGGGAAGCAAGCTAGAATGACCCATGTAGGAATGGGTTAGAGTTGGAAACAACATTATGAACTTATGTTTAGCTTACGATAGAAGAGGAAAATATTCATTAGTACGAATGTGTGTATGGGTTAGTATATATACATGTCTCCCCTTGCTCTGTCAGCTGAAAGATTGCAGAAGCAACAACATCTCAGTAGCAATGAGCACACAAAGCACGTAGATATTAGTGTGTAATACCATTTCCAAAACCAGGACCTAGCACTTTTTGAAAAATTGACCGATTCTAGAATTGATACAGAAAATATAGAAAATAAACCTGGAGCATATTGTAGTGCCCCCCAATAAAGAAAGTGTACAAAACATACACACACATGCACACACACACATGCAAGCACACAGAATGATGGAAGCATGTCAAAGGGACATAAAAACCAACTAATAGAATTTTCAATGTCCAAAGCTAGAATAATCTGAGCAACAAAATAAACAAAGTATTATATTTTAACTCAAAGTATAGCATACATATTCATGAATCTATATTGTCATTTAAAAAATAGAATAAAAAATAAATAGGGAAGAAAAGCCTTCTATGCAGAAGTATTCAAAATAATGTATGCTGGTACTTTACCCTCAAGGAAGTGGAGCATAATTCCCACTATCTCAATGTTGACTATGCATAGTTTCTTTCTTCCAAAAGTATATCATGCTAATGTGAGGGGCAATGGTAACACATTGGAGAAATTTGCCAAATACGACATCAGCCAGGTGGATCAATGCTAACATCAACAGTGATAAGTATTGCTGTTAGTATGGGCACTTTATGTGACATAATCAGAATGATACTTTACCACTGCGGTCTTCTTCCCAAAACCTAAACTCCAGTCAAGTAATAAGAAATAAACGAGGTCTCAATTGAAGGACGCTGTACAAAATATCTCACCAGTTGTCAAAACTATCAAGGTTATCAAAAACAAGATTAAGTCTGAAAAGCTATCACAGCTAAGGGAAGCCCAAGAAGACCTGACATCTAAATCCAATGTAGTATTTTGGATGGGATCCTGGAAAAGAAAAAAAAATAAGTTAAAACCTATTGACATACGAATAAATTGTGGACTTTAATTGATAATAATGTATCAATATAGGTCAATTGATAGTGACAAATTTACCGGTAATAATGGAGATTAACAGTCAAAGGAACTGGATATGAGGTATAAGCAAATTTTTGCAATCATTACAGTTTTTATGTAAATCTGAAACTATTATAAAATTAAAGGTTCACTAAGAAACTGTAGAGGATTTTAGCTAATTAATATTTATTTTTATTTAATAAGAGTAATCTGATGCCAGGCACTAAAGGAGTAAAAGCAATAAGTAACTCATAAACTCTCTTGATAGCACGTCACAGTTTGATTTTATTTTTCTTATATCCTTTCATGCAGGACATAAATGCTAGACTGTGAAATGTATCTTATATTTATTTATATTCTCAGAGTTTCCAGCATTATTAGTTTGTAAGTATAAGAGCTCACAGGCTTTTGTTAAACCTGTAGTAATGCACATTAAAAGAATGATCACGTCATAGCACTAGGTAATGAATGAATTGGGAATAAAATGAATGTGAGCATTTATAACTACTGCGAAATTTCAGATGCATGCATTCTAGAAGCAATTGTTGAACACGTAACATGGACTTTGTGGTCAGTAAGTGTAGTTACTGTTTTTGCAGACTAAAGGGTAAAGACAAAATTTTAGCAAAGATGACATTTCAATGGGTAATTGAAGTCTGAGTCATAGTATGAGTAGTATTTGAATAGGCTCTCAAGAAGAACATTGCGCTTGCACAAAACATTGCCAAATTATTGATATTAGAAATAAGTATGTACTCCGTGTGCCCAGAGTGTTTTAATAAATGTTTGTTCAAATTACAACATTAACATTCATACATTTAACAATCACCGTGCCTACTTTTGGAAGTGACTAGAAATAAGTATGATATCAAGTTAATTTTATTCAAATTGATGCCTCCGTACATTTATAAGTTGCTATGTGGTTGGTGAACAGAATTCACTTTGCTACTCATGGGGCTTAGCTAAACACCCATTATCTCCAATGTCAAACTAGCTTTGTTTGTGTTTGAAAGTCCCACTGCACACTACAAAACCTACTTATGAATTGTTTTCTAGTTTACTTCTTCAGAATTTATGAAGAAATAGCAAGAGTAAAATTTTCACAAAATAAACACTTAAAAGATAACACCAGGTTGATTATAGTAAATAATAATGTACCATATATTTCAAAATAACGGAGAGCAAATTCAGATATCTCACTGTTTAAAAAAATGATAGGCAAGGGAGATGATGGAAATGTTAATTATCTTGATTTAATCCTAACACCTTGTATACATATATCAAAACTTCATACTATATTCAATAAATGTATACAATTATAATTTGCCAATGTTTTTAAAAAGAGAGCAAAAGCATATTCTATGAAAACTAAGACTATTTCCCCAAATAGAACCCAACTATTTCTTACTAGGTCTAACCACTAGTTTTTAAAATCACAGTCCATGCATAGAATACTTAATTTTTCCCCTTTAAACATATTGTATATACTTTATTTTTTCATAAATAAAATGGAGTCTATCCAAATAACATTTTCTAATTTATTTAATCATTCTCCTAGAAATGGATCTGTAGCTTATTTTTGGTCTTTTGCTCTTATTAACAATGTAGTGAAAATTTTTTTTTTTTTTTTACTTACAAATACGTGAAAAATCATATAAATACATTTGTATACCTCCATAGTATACTCCTAAAAATGTGTTTGATAACAAAAGTTATTTGTATTTTTAAATTTTGAATAGGTACTGCCAAATTGACCACAAAAGGGATTGTAAACATTTATTTTTCCACAAATAGTGTCTATTATCTTACATCCTTACCAAGTCAGTCTGTCCGGTCAACTCTGACCAAGGTTTAAACGGAGGATGTGGAGATATGCACAAGAAACACGTAATACTTATTTGACATTACATGGCACATGGGTGTATTAGTCCTAGAAGAAGCAGATGGTTTATTAAACTCCCTTCAATCATGTTTTTGTAAGGCATCACTTTTTTACTGGGGACCTGTTGAATTTACATATGCATCAACACATTTGAATAAGATTATTTATTGGGCTTATCCACACATTCTACATTTAAACCTTGGCGAGAGAGCTGCTTGGCAGGACCTGTGTCTTTTGATAGAAGATAACATTACCAAAGTGCAGCTCAGCAGAAAAGGAGAGTACATTTCCTCTTTTCCCACTCTCCAGTCTCCTGCTTGTGCCTACCATGGGCCAAACCCAGCTGAAACTAGAGGGTGAGGAAGCTCAGTTGGCACAGTCCATAGAGATGCTGAGGCATGAAGTGGGGTTAGTAAAAGGCAAAAGTAGATTTGGTGGAATAAATTTTTTAAATGCAGGATATTATATATTCACAAATTTGTATATTCATATTCTCATTTCTATTCCACCACGAATGTTAATGACTTAGAAAAATCTATAGACTCAAATGGATAAAATTTTTATGCTGGAATATGGTGGAAGGCAAGATTGTCAAACACAGAAGCATAGATTACTTTGAACTTGAAATTCCCTATGAGATACATTTTTTAACCACTTTCTTTTTAAAAGGGGAAATGTGTGCCTAGAGAAGTAACTTGTAAAAATGTAGATCTATCAAGGGAAAGTGCTTGTACCTACGCACAGGGCGTTGATCTCCCTTAGGTCTCTGAGCTTTCTCTTCACCTATTCATGAAGACTGACTGAGGAATTTATACTTTTATTGAGAAACATTCATTTTGTGGTTCCTCTTTCAGAACATCTCTTTTCAGGGTAATCTATGTCTATTTTGAATAAAAACACTGGTGATTTATAAATGAATAGCTGGAATTATTTTAGACTACTGTCTTAGGCAACTTCCAAAATTACATTTCCTGCACAGAATACTGGGTTTCCAACAAAAACTTTAATGAAGATGTTTTAACTAAATAAAAATAAAAATGGTAGATAGGTATACATGTATGTATGTGTATATGTGTTTGTGTGTATGTACACACACTATTTATATATATGTGTTTATGTGTATGTACACACACTATTTATATATATGTGTGTGTGTATGCTTCACTATATATAACAATAATAAACAAATCACATCGCAAAGCAGAATCAACATATATAAACCCTGTTTAAAAATGGGAACATGCCAATAGAATTTGACATGGACTTATTTCATTGCAACAGCATTGTCAGGTGGATATTAAAAACAAACTAAAAAGTTCTTAGAGCTGGAAGATCACTTTCAAATTACCCCCTCTCCCACCATTTGACATATGAAAAAATTCAGGAGATTGGGTTAAGTAATTCTGATTCTCTGATTTGAGAATTAAAATTGAGCTTACAAACATTTTCCCAGGATCAGAACCTAGAGACAAAAAAAACAGAAATTTGTTGAAATAGAACAAAGAATGTATTTTGCACTGGACTATGTGAAGGAGAATCTGAACACAGATAAACTAGCTCAACAGTGACAGATGTATGCCACGTAAGAGCAGAGAGTCACAAATGAGAAAGATGATGCTAGACTATGCCTGAGGTACAAGGAAATGCAGAAAGTGTACTCACCAGCTTTCTGGTTCTGGCTCCCATAAAGCCTGGTTGTATTTCTGTTTCTAAAGCTATAAAACATTATTGAAACTATATTCTCACATGTAGAATTGAGCAAGCTTCAGTAGGTTTCTAGTTTTGATATTAAAATAGATTGGGCTGATTTAGAAGTTCTCTATGTCCCCAACCAATATTTTTTCTTGTATCTCAAATTTTGGTAACACTAAATTTAACACCACCTATAAAGATGGCTGGATTTCATAAAGCTCTACAGCATGTTCATAGAAACCTCAGAAAAATTTATGTCATAGACGCTTTCACACAAATCATAAGTAACGCTTTTTCATTAATGGAATAGTGGATCTAGAGATTTTCTTCTACGACTTTAGGTACATCCACTGTAAGTATTTTCTAAAACTCAAAGAACTTCTGTTTCTTTATCTATTTTATTGTTTTATTATTGTACTCACTGTCACATTATCAAGCCATAAAGCCATTTTCTTCCTGGAGACAAATTCTTTGTGGGAGTGAAATTATAGAATTCAAGGGCATTAATGTCTTCTAAAGTCATATGGCCATTGTAAATGTTCAAAAGCTTTGATGAATTCTCAAAAGCAAGAATAGAGAAGCAAGTTTTCAGAAGCTCTAAAATCATTTAAGCACAACGTTTTGTGAATTCAGCCACACTTTCAGGTAGCTGTGATCTAAGAAATAGTACAGTTTTGGAAAATCTTGACCATCTTTCAACTGGAAAGTAAAGGCTAAAAATTCTAGGTTCTTTCATTCTTCTTCTGGGTATATAATAACAAATAATATAGGAGTTTGAAGAAATCTGAAGCCCTCCTACAATCACATTTTAATTTAAAATAATAGGAAAATAGAGAAATTAAAACAAACAAAAGAAAAAGGAAAAAGAAAAAAGTGTTAGGCTTGGACTCTAAGGACTCTCGAGCTACTTTTAAACATTTACCTCTCCCCCTAAACATTTCTATAATGATCAAAGATTGAGAAAATGAGAGTATTCTCCAGGGTTACACAATTAATTCCAATGACTACAGATTTGAACTCCCTAGTATCTCGCTTTATGGTATTGTTAATAAAGAAATGCGCTCAGGTCTCAATTATGCCTGCATGTCTAGTACAGGTGCCATTTGAATCAAGTGTATAGATCAATCAGTCAGCAACTGATTAGAGGCTGCTCAATTAGAAGTCTGTGGCTAAAACTTATCTACCTATGGATTGTTGTTTTTTGTTTGTTTTGGCCCACACAGTCTTTAAACTATTTTTACCTTTTACCTGTATTAATCAGTTCTCTCACTGCTATAAGGAAACACCTGAAACTGGGTAATTTATAGAGAAAAGAGGTTTAATTGGCTTATGTTTCCGCAGGCAGTGCAGGAAGCATGGAGGCATCCACTCGGCTTTTGGGGAGCCCTCAAGAAACTTATAATCTGTCACATGGCCAGAGCGGGGACCAAGAGAATGAAGGGAGAACTGCCACACATTTTTAAACAACCAGATTGCACAAGAACTCATCATCGTGAGAACAGTGCCAAGAGGACGGTGCTAAACCATTCGTGAGAAAAATCTGCCCCCACGATCCAGTCTCCCTCCCACCAGGCCCTATCTCCAACACCAGGGATTACATTTCAACATGAGATTTGAGTGGGGACACAGATCCATACCATATCAGTAACCAATATTAAAAAACAGAAAACTTACACAATTTTGGATTTTTGGCATCTCACAAACATAAACAAACACTGTCAACAGTGGGCCGGTATTGCTGCCTTTGAAGTGCATCTAGTCTCGTTAGACAGGATATACGTGATCTCTGTCCCCACTCTGATCCATTAATTTCTGTTTCTTATCTGGCACTAGCATTTGATATTCTCTTAGGTTTCATAGGAACAACTTCATGTCATATCGGTGTTTCTTTGGAAGCATCCTCATTGTCTTTCCATGTGGAGTATGTTCATATATACCAGTGTATCATATTACACTGTAGTGGCTAAAAATGTGGACTTTAAAGTTATAGGACTTTGATTCAGATTCTAGCTTTACCACTTTCCGGTTGTGTGAATTTGGGCATATTATTTAACCATTGCTAACAAGCCACTTGGGTTATTGTGAGCATTCATTCAGTAAAAACAGAATACATTTGCCAGAAAATGTTCTATGTGTCTTTATATGTATATGTTTCGGCTATTATGATGTTATCTGTTTAGATATAACTATTATTTCATAAAATGCAAATGTAATTCATGAACTAAACTCCATATGAGAAATTATGGAGTCATGTTTGTAGAATGTAGACTTTGCTTATCCAAACAGCATGCACTTTTTCATCATCAAATGTGCAAGGACAGTAAGCGCAGTACAAGTGCAGCTGCAATGTCAGAGGAGCCGTGAGTTGTCTCTGGGATTTCCTCTTCACAGAAATGCACAGCTGCTACTGACTGAAGTGTTCAGGCAGGGGCAGGATCGTTGTCCTGGAGGCCCAGGTCGAGAGGTACTGCCTCGTTTGGAGTAGTGGAGGTGAGGACCCACGTGGAAAACAGACTGGCCATTTTTCCATAACGCTGCTGCACTGGGCTGTGGCTCCAGGTCAGTTCTCAGCCACCGCGCTCCCTGCTGAGCCTGAGGGCAACAGAAGCAAGTGCTGCAGTGCGGCAAATTGGTGGCCTGGCTGCTCCCTCTTGGAGCTCTGTCCAGGGAAGTGGAGAGATTCTACTGACCCAAGAGCCACCGGGGTGGGTCGCTGGAGTCCCAGGTCGGGAGACCCTGCCCAGAGAGTAGTAGCGGGACAGGAAGCCGCGCAGAAAAAAACAGTCTGGCCACTTTTCCCTAAGGTAGTAGTGCTGTGCCGTCGGTCTGCATTAGCCCCTAATCACTGCACACCCTCCCAAGCCTGAAGCAGCAAGAGAGAGGGTCGCGGACCAGCAAAAAAGGCAGCCCGCCTCTCACTCTGGGAGCTCCATTCCAGGGAAGTGCAGAGATGCTCTTAGTCCGAGAACTCAGGCGGGGTTGGAGTGGTCTTCCTAGCATCCCAGGCCAGCGGGCCTTATCCTGCGAGGTGCAGTGGAGGTGAGACCTGCATTCCCTTACTGCTCACCCACATGGATTTGACCCCTTTCCTGGGGGTGTGCAAGGGAGTCTGGCCTCCGCTGTTGCTGAAGCTGCAGCTGCTGATGCTGGGGTACCCCGTGAATCAGAGGTTCCCGGGATTCCATGTGTGCCTGAGTGGCAGCTCTTCCTAGACTCCACGCAATTCTTCATGCGGGTCTGCAGGCCTAGGTTGGGAGGTTCACAGAGGATCTTCTGAGCCCAGGGATTCAAAGGTCTGTGGCAGAAGTGTGGATCTACGGGAAACACTCACCCACCGCATCCCCGTGGGGAGGGACCTCCCTTTGCTCTGTGCCACTCCTGTGTGGGCCATTGTCCTGTTTTGTTCTTCTCAGTTCTCCGTGGGTTATGCTGTTTCCTTGATGAATCCCAATGTGTCCACCTGGATGTTGCAGTTGAAGAGCTAGTGTTTGCTCCAGCCATTCTTTCTTCTCTCTCTGAGAGAAGGGCACGCTAGCAGCTTCTCATCAGTTATCTTGGCCCCATCTGTCAGTAATTTTTAATCATTCGGGTTCTGACACTACTCAGAACAAATATGGAATTAAATTTAATCTAATAAATAATACATTAATTTTAGCCTAACTACATGTTTTTTCTTTACTACTTTACTACATTAAAAAAAATTTTTAAAGTAAAAGTTTACCTCAAGTTGATGCCAATAACAAGTGCCAATTTGAAAGCATTACTGGAATGAGCATTTCTATGACTGGCTCAGGGGAGCAAGTGGCCTCTAGTCTTACTTCAGAAGTATGAGGGCAAGTGCTTACCATTTTCAATCACTTATTTTGCTTGCTGTTACTCCAGTTTAATTTAAAGTAGAGCAACTGATAAAATCAAAGATCAAAGGGACATAAAAGAGAGAGAAACATAAATCATTAGCTTGCAAATTCTGATATTGTCTTTCAATGATACCTTTCTTTGTTTACTGTGAACATGACAACAAATTGTGCAAATGAGTGACTGTTTTTCACCTAGCAATTCAGAGATTCTGTTTTCTCAATATTTTGCATTTCTTCCCAAATAATTTTGGCGTGGATAGTCCTTAAGGTCATGTCTCAATAATTGTAATCTGGTAATAAAATTATATTTCATTAAATCTAAAAGTGGTATGATCAAATATGAAGTTAGCTGGAATGTGTGTTGGAAGACTATGTTCTAGTTCAGGTACTTACTAGATGTGGGATGTGGAAGGACTGGAATTCCAGATCGCTTCTAAAAGCCAAAACCTAGTTACTGGAACCAATATAGACCAAAAAAGGGAGGAATCCATGTGCTCAGCCTTAACTACAAGTTAATAAGTGACTGGTTTAGCTGTGAAGACAGAAAGGAGATAGATCAGAGAGTCTCAAATGTCACATCCTATATACTTGATAAATACACATACATATCCACACTTAGATTGATTTCCATAATACATTTCACACATTTCATGAAGTCAAACTTTTTGCTCTCACAATTTGACTACGAAGCAATAGCCATCACAGTATTTTCTCATATTTCCTTTGCCTCTGTCCTCCTGGGTTCTTTTTACTTTCAAGAAGGAACATATGATAATGGAAGAGATTAGTTTCAAATCCTTAGTTCAATGGATAGATCAGAAAATGTATAATGAATTATAATTTTTTAAAAAATGGACATAGTACCCAATACATATGGTACCAAAATGTCTAGAAGAAAAAAAAATCTGGTTTGTTACCCACAATTTGAAATGTCCAGAGACTGTGTATAGGCAACATAATAATAATGAATTGAACGTGCTGTAAATGTCTGTACATTTTCTTTAGGAGAACATTGCAATTGTCTTTGGATTTTCAGCTATTGTGCTTAACAGGTACTTCATGTAACAATATATCAATTGTTAAGTGAACTCAATATGTCAGCAAACAGAGCTGGCCACTTAAGTTACCCAAAATCAAGACAGTTTCTTGGCTAGACGAGGGATTCACCACTCTAGTAGGTATTGTCACATTCTAGTGAACACAGAGAGGCATTAACAAATGCTTCTCTCTGGGAGTTACAACCAATACAATATGCAAGATGTGAAAAAACAGCAACATCAAACTGTTCATTTCAGTGGTGTCCTCAGGCTGACAAAAATCCCTCTTAGCTTGCCAACTTTTGTCAGTCTGTTTCTTTCAAATGCTTTATAGTTTTCCCGTTCATCATAAGTTTATGACATCCATTAAGCTACAAATCAGAGACTACAGATGATATTTGAACATTTCCACTGCCGAGTACTTAAAATGTTAATTCATTCTTGCCCAGGAGCAACTGGAACATCTGGTCTTACTTCCAAGTGAAGTCACTGGTGCAGTTCACCTTCTGAATAGCAATGTGATGGGCGAGCTGGAGGGTAAACCAGTGGCATGCGCGTTAGAAAGCAGGCACAACAGAAAAAGGAAGTGGAGATCTTAGCGACATGCTTCCTGTCAAAAAGACTGGAACATACGTTAGATTTTGATTTCATTTGCAAATGATGCTCATCCATGTTAAACACCATTTTGAAAGTTGGCCTATAAATATTAAATATTTCAAATCGTTCCTTGATTGGTGATTGGAAATCTATTAAAAAAAATCACGAGGTGGCAATCTGTGTTTTTCTCACACTATATGGCTTGTTACCACACCGAAAGCTGAACACTTGAGTTCAAATTCAGTGGAACAGTCTTAGCCACTAATGATTATAACTCTGAAATTGTTTATGTTTGTAGAAAAAAAGAAAATGATGAGGCATTAATATAAAAGATATGAGGCATTATAGACAGTGGTAAAAAGGAAGATTTTGTGTGTGTATGTGTGTGTGTACTAACTCACTAACACACAATTTTATTTATGAGAGAGTACAGTCAAGAAGAAGCATGATTGTCCACACAACATACATCAAAAGTCATAGTACTGAGGCTTTGGAATTTCTGTAAAAATCTATTTGAAAAAATCATTCTATAGCACAGAGGTGACGATAATTTTTCTGAAGCAAAAAGTGAACTTGTCAAAGCCTATGGGTTTAATGTGACTTGGAGAGAGAGAACTGTCCTTCTGCAGCTTTTTTTCACATTCAGGACTGCAAACCTGAGCTAAGCTTCTCAAATCCCTAGGAAATGGGCTCTGCTCAGAAAATGGGAATCATAGGTTAGACTAAGTCATCATGAGTTTTTATAATTTTTACCTTTCCTTTTCAAGATTTTGTTTTTAAATTTTCTGAAGATGTAGTACAAGTAAGACTATCACTTTTTGAATGTAATGGCAAAGCCCTCTTTGTGGTTTAGTTTAGTATATTTTAGTGTATCTTGTTTATTTTCTGCCTATAACACTATAATGTTAACTCTATGATATCAGAGTCTTTGTCTTATTTTTATTCACTGGTATGTAACTAGCATTTCAAACATTGCCTAAAACGTATTAGATAAATGGCTGACTGAACTCACCATTTATGGAATTGTTATTAGGAAGTTTTTTTTCACATAAGGAAAAGTACACTTGATTTTAAACATAAATAACTGGTTCAAATCCAGACTATGAATGGAAATAATATGGTAGTGTTTAAGAAAACGGGCTCAGTAATCATCCTGCCTTTAGTACTCATCTCTAATGGGCTGAATCCTTCTTCTACCCCTCAATTACTTTAGTTTCCTTATCCTTAAAATGTGGATAATTAAAGTACCTAACTCATAGGGTAGCTACGAGATTTAACTAAGGTAATTTGTTCTAAGAGAGTGCTGACCATGTAGTAAGTGTCCAATAAATATTGTGTTTTTTGTTGTTGTTTTAGTTTCCTTTTAAGTTGACATACATCTGTATAATTAATGCTATGAATATTAATCCAAATCACTAAATGAGATTGAAATCTTTTTTCTGTTTTTAAATAATGATGGTGAAAATCAAATGTAATTAGGTAATAAAATGGTCAAAATTCATTCACTGTGAGTATCAATTAAATTTAGTTATCAGATTAACAACATTTGTTTTGAGTTGCCATAGGGAAAGGTGTTAGAGTTCAATAATAAATAATGTCTGGTGCCAGCCCTCCCATTTATTATAGCTTAATTGTAGACAATGGATTCATAAGAGGAGAAACAAACTTTAGAGTTGCATATGTTAAGTTTTCACTAAGTAACATAGGGTTAATGTCAGAAGGCAGAACATCAGGGAAAAAAATGTATTGAGGCAGGTGGTGTTTCGCTCAGGTCTTAAATAAAATAATGAAGAAAGAATGTAATGAAAACAATATTTAAGATTAATTACTTTTATAAAAAATGGCATGATTAGTTTGTTTCTAGCATTCTATTTTCTTTTAATAAAACCCAAAGTACTATTTTTTCTTTTCACCCACAAATGTGCATATTTTGTGTCCCCCTTTTTTAAAAAAAACATAATACTTAAATATGAAAGACTAGCTGATCTTGAGCTAAAGAGGCTTAACACCAGAGAAACTTGAATCAGTTGGTCACATTTTGCAGGTTTTATCATCAACAGGCTGCTCAACTGAAAAACTAATACAGTACATCTATCTCATAGGTTCATTTGAACACAAAATGAGATAATACACCTAAGTTCCATGGTCTCGTGTCTCCTGTATATATACGTCATATGTGAGCATTCCATTTTCTGTAATTTTGAAAGGGCAAGAACAGTCTTTTTTTTTAACAGTGCTCATGTGGAGATCAAACATGAAAGATAGACAGTCCTATCTTATTCTCAGATATTTGAATTTCTGTCTCCTTGAGAGAGTGGACTAGCCAGGTTGGCAAGGACTCTGCCAAAAGTAAAGTCTGCTTCCCAGAGCTATAGGTGATGATAAACTCTAGGGAATGTGAGGAATTGAGTCAGATGGAAAATGAGTGAGTTATAGAAGGGAGCACAGTTAAGAAGCAGGCATAAAAGCTTTTGGGTAAATCTAAAGATGCGAGGATAAATAAATGAGAGTGGAAAACTGTGGACAAAGGCCTTTGTTAAAAGCAGACTTTTAAGAAACAAATAATTCTCATCATGACTTCTATGATACAAATGAACTGACGGTGTTGAAAATGCTAGAGATGAAAATATTTACTGAAAAGAAATATATTTACTGAAAATAAATATAATTAAAGAAAGTAGAGAATGGTTAAATAAAGTTATATAGTAACTAGTCTGAAAATCATAACTCTCTGTGGCAGTCAAATGCCACATGGAAGCCATAACTCCCCAAACACCCATGGTTCAGAGGCTCAGGCATATTCTATGGCTGACAGTCTCAGCTAAAGCACATTCTCCAGAATTTCTAGAATCTACTGGTAAATACGTTACCTATGTAACAGCCTCTATGCATTCTTCAGAGCCTTCTAGAAAAGAAAGAGGAAAGAAATCATTGTCAAATTTCCAAATACGGCATTTGGGGATTCTCTATCTGTTGCCATTTTTAATTTTTTCCTCATTTTTATTGCCCTGAATCGTACTTTGTAAGTCATATGGTTGTTTTCTTTCTATTTGAGAGAGCATTTCCAGTCAGATTTGTAGTACATCCTTTTCTATAGAATATTATTTTATCATAAACATAATATCATAAAAGATGTACACAAAATGTTACTTCCCACTTTCCTTTCCATCTCCCCACCTTTTTTACTTTTTAAGATATATATGGGATGAATGGATGAAGACAATCTCAGGAAGGCTGTTAAGAAGACAACTTCTTCGTGTAGTAGAGAATAATAGTCCATATTAAATTTACCAAACACTATATTCCTAATAAAATATCTTATCACCTCTCACTGTGTAAAACATTTAGAAAGATTCTAAAACATTATAAGGAGATTGCATAATGTATTTACTGGAAGCAACAGAACTATGTAACCTATTTATAGTTTAGCCAGGGAGTTCTTAAGCCATATACAACAAGCTCTTTAGTTCAAGTGAAACCTTAGATTTTGATATCTAGAATATTGCATCCAGTACATTCAGTGGGCTTGGCTTAGTTTCCAGTATGAGATAGGTAAAAGTAAATATTTAATCACATGAATTAAATATATAAATTTTGGAATCACAATTGGGTTATAATACAAGTTCTATCTCTAGCAGATTTTGTGACCTTGAACTGATTAATTAACCTCCTTTAAGCCTTAGAGTCTTCATCTGTGTATGTCAAGAAAATAGTTTTGAGATATTTTATATAGAAAAAGAAAGAAAATATTCGTCATTTCCTCTTTTCTTTTTCCACGATCTAGGTACAAGAATAGTTCTCTATTTATGGCTTGTGGGAGGAATGGGACAAGAAGGAAAGCAGGAAGCTCTTCAAGTCAGCTGTCTTTGGTTTTCCAAAGCTTAGCCTATTGGGGAGATTATGCTTTTGGCTCTGAGACTAAAAAAGAAGATAGTTATTTTTAGTAGGAAAAAAATGAATTTAATAAGGAGTTTAATAAGAATTTGAAGAATTTATCACATTTTTAGACTAACAACCTAACTCCTACCCTCCTACCCCAGGGTGAGGGATGAGGATGTGAATGGGTAGCTAGAGAGGAAAAAAGATTATAAAGGAAAAAAAATTAAAATCTCCAGAGACGTTAATGGATATGAATTTACCATGTGTGTAGGGACAACTAGGAAAATCTCAGCAATGTTTTAACAGGAATTGGAACTAAATCTAATTCCACAGATGGTTCAGCTATTCCCAAACAATCATAGCAAACTGTTCTTTAGAACGGTGACACGTGACCTCAGCAATCAGCATCTCTACTGTCATCTCCAATACAGCAAAAACAGTCCTACCTTGGGATTTTTGAAAAGAGGTTTGCCTATGTGAACTTGGTCATCTATAGACTGAGTAAGGTCCCAGTGCACTAATACATCCCAAAATATGTCTTTGGCTATTGGTCACAGGGGGAGGAGGAAGAAAAATCTTCATCTGTGAGTGAGTTAGTACTGTAGGGGTGGCATTGTTTCAGTCCAGTTTAAGAGCCATACTGAGCTGGTGCAGTGGTTGAATATCACTTCTTTATGACCAGCAGTCTCAATATGCACATGAGAATAGGAATATCAGGCTAGTTAAAATTACTATTAGGATTAAATTATATTGAGAAATAGAAAAAATAGCTATAGAGATGAGCCAACATTTAGAAGTCATGGCTGGATAAGTGCCTGACACAGAGTATCTGTATAATGCATGCCATTTCCTTTATTTAATAAATTATCACCCTATTGCTCATTACCATCACTATCATCATCTCCATCATCATCATCCTCAGCATCACAGATAATAACACTGAGGCTTTCAAAGGAGGAAAATCACCTTTCCAATAGCACACAGCATGTCAGAATGTATTTAATAAAGTGCTAAGTGGTGAGAATAAAAATCCCTGTACTGGCGTATCAGGATACCTAGGCTTAGTTGTACTGTGGTTGATTGCTTGAGAAGTTACAAAGTCTAGCTTAACATTTGTGTATCCTCCCACATTGAAAAATAAGACACGCCTCCCAAATACAATCAGTTGTGCTTTATATTTGTTGTTTATTCTTATGATTATCAGAACTGATGATATTCAGCTGTCATATCTGATGAATACCAACATCTGCTCTTCTGCATTTAATTTTGCT
Organism: Homo sapiens; assembly: GCF_000001405.40. NCBI lineage: Eukaryota > Metazoa > Chordata > Mammalia > Primates > Hominidae > Homo > Homo sapiens. The sequence continues at coordinate 61,548,225 of NC_000016.10, read as the reverse complement.
GAAGGAAAAAGCTCATCTGTGTGCCAGAGTGTCAGAAATGAGAGTACTGAATATGTGCCTCTGGAAGGCAAAGCTGACCCTTGTCTCTCTGTCTAGAACCTTTTTGTTTGTATATCCAGCCTATGATGGGCAATGGGTCAACTTGGGACTCTCATAAATTTAATCAACTGATGGTACCAATTCTCACAAGGAAACTGAGATAAATACCAAGTACTCCTCAGCTAAATCTAAATTATCTATATTAGGGACTATATAGCCAGAGTGAGCACTGATTATTCATGCTCACCCAGATCTTTTTGAACATATTTCACATGTTTTCAAGTCCCAGCTATGTCTTTCAGTGAGGAAAAGATACATATTTTAACATTCCCAGATTCTCTTGCAGCTGAAATATCAATGTATGATTCAGACTCTGCATACCAGTCATGCTGGTATTAGCCATTAATTTGAAGTCAGTAAGCAGACATAATAAAGGTTGGTGGCAGAGGCAGCTTGCTTTTATTTGTGGTATTGGTGGAAGCTTCCAGACTGCTATAGAGGCTCATGGTTATTAGAGATGACAGCACCTCCATGAAAGTTTAAATCTAAAGTTGTTCCTGTTACCTTGGCTTATAGCAAATGCTTAAACAGCCTTCCCAAAGAGTCTGTGTGATGCTCGATGTTGCATTAAATGTTTCCCTGTTTGCATGTTAGATTGTTCTGTCTGCAAAAAAAAAGTTCTAAAATATGCAATGGAGTAGTCATAGAAGATGTGTCAACTAGGACTTTTGAGTTGAGTTCTTTGCATTTGCAAGAGGGGGAGGTACGGATTATGGACTCCAGGTATCAGGGGGAAAAAGAGAAAGATAGATGAAAGAGACAGACAGAGAGAGAGAGAGGGAGAAAGAAAGAGAATTGTACCTGTAATAAAAACACGAGAAAAAAATGACTTTTTTTTTTTCTGAGTCCAGAAGCTCCACCTATGTCCCAGGAATTAATACCTCTATATCTTTCAGCTATTCTTATACTCTCAATACTGAAGTTATGAGGCCCCAAATTGAACAGAGACCATCTGCATTCTCATAGTTTCGTAATCTTAGCAAAAGATAAGTTAATCTGCCCAGCAGTTCCAACAATGGTCCGAAATTGTGTTCCTTTGGTCTCACTAGTTTCACATGCCCACTTCTCAACCAATTCAATGTGGACAGGAGGGTGGAAGGATCTGATTAGTCAGACAAGAAGCACAGTTTCACACAAACCACATGGATTAAAGATAGAGAAGTAGTTGTTCCCTAAGCAAAATCAGGATTCTATTCCTAGAATAAGAACTAGCGGCTGAGCAGATACAAACATTTGATTGATTCTAGCTGCATCTGCTTCCATCTTGCAACGGTCATAACGTAACCAGGAGATGACTTGATATCTTTGATCTTATTCTCCAAAGTGGTTCTTTTTCAATAATTTTTGAGACATTATATTAGCCAGATGCTTTGTAATCTGTTATTAAACAATAAAAAGACACTAGAAAAATAATACTTTGAAAGCAAGACAGTAGGCTGGATGTGGTGGCTCATGCTTGTAATCCCAGTACTTTGGGAGGCCAAGGCGGGTGGATTAACTGAGGTTGGGAGTTCGAGACCAGCCTGACCAACATGGTGAAACCCATCTCTACTTAAAATAAAAAATAGCTGGTCGTGGTGGTGCATGCCTCTAATCCCACCTACTCGGGAGACTGAGGCAGGAGAATTGTTTGAACCCAGGAGGTGGAGGTTGCAGTGAGCCAAGATCGTGCCATTGCACTCCAGCCTGAGCAACAAGAGCACAACTCTGTCTCAAAAAAAAGAAAAAAAAAAAAAAAAGAAAGCAAGACAGTAAGGCACATAGAGAAGTTGATCAAAGGATGACATTTGCTACAGGATAGCTATCCTAACATGCAGCAACAGTACCTCCTTCCCTCAGCACCACACCATGCTCTTCAGATGTTAGAATGAGAACCAAACCATGCCCTTCCTTCTCTTGTCTTATCAAAGCATCATAAATCCCTTCCTCTTCACCATGAAAATAAGCACCTGTGGAAACAACACTGATTAGTAGGAACAGATCTGTTTAAAAATAAATGCAATTAGTGCTAATTACCTTCCCCTTAGGCTCACAGTGTTACAGATTATTATTATTATTATTATTAATTTTTAAATCACAACCAGAATGGGCAGAAAGGTCAAATTTACTCAAGAGGCCTTTGTGTCTAGAAGTTGAACCATGAATTTATTAAACATGCGTATCTATACAAATACCCTCACATTTGTACAGTTGCATTTAATAACCTACACATATGTTTGAATCAGATATCTTAATTATTCAGAAGGAGAGGAGCTGCTCTAGGTAATCCAGCTAACTTATGACACCATAACACTTACTCTAATTTACGCTTTACAAACAAGCCTAAATATATCCTCCCCTGAGCTAAAACAGTAATTCAGCATGCGCTCACTGTGGAACTTAAGGTAACATTTTATTTCTGAGGTTAGAAATTATGTCTAATATATGCGATGTTTCTCTTTTGTAATGCTAATTAAAACAAAGACTAAAAGAGACAACCAATTCGGGTTATTTATGCTGAACTACCTGCACTGCCCTTCATTTTCATCAAAACAAAATACCAAACTGACTTTTGTTTGCACAGAGGGCTACATATTTTTCTTCCGTTTTTAATGTAACATTTTAAAAGAGAAATATTTGAATGTGACATTAATTGAATGTTAATTGTAAGGTCTATTTTCTAGCTATTGTGTTGTTTGAGCTCCTTATGTATTTTGGATGTTAACTCCTTATTAGATACACAGTTTGCAAATGTCTTCTCCCATTTCATAGATTATATCTTTGTTCTATTGATTGTTTCCTTTGTTGTATAGAAGCTTTTTAGTTTGATGTAATCACATCATCTACTTTTACTTTTGTTGTCTGAAATTTGGAGTCATATGCAAAAAATAAATCATTGTTCAGACCTATGCATGGCATATTCCTTCTATGTTTTCTTCTAGTAGTTTTAGAGTTTCAGGTTTATCTTTAAGTCCTTAATATATTTTGAGTTGATTTTTGCATATGGTGTGAGATAAAAGTCAAATTTAATCCTCCTGCTTGTGGGCATCCAGTTTTTCCAACGCCATTTAATGAAGAGACTGTCCTTTCCACACTGTGTGTTGGTGGCATCTTTGTAACCTGATTTAAAAATGGGCAAAATACCTGAATAGATATTTCTCCAAAGAAGACATACAAATGGCCAACTATACAGCTTTAGGTATTTCATTAGATAACTGCAAGAAGCTAGTGGTTGTCACTTTCCCCAAACAATAAAAAGACAAGGAGTTGAAACAAACAAGTAAGCAAGCAAACAAACAAAACCCGAAAATATTGTCAAGTTTAACACCTTATAGATATTTGTTCATCATAGTAATTTAGATATTCACTAACATGTTAAATGATAAGCCTAAATGACTTCCTACTTTATGCTTACAATGAGAGCCTTACCTTCCTTAGCGTGTTGTAATAGAAACAGCCCTGGCTTGGGAGGACAAAGATGCTGGCCGTGGTACTTTCACTTATTTTGTGACCTCAGGCAAATCAGTGAAACCTACTGAAACAAAACTGGGTAAGATTCTGTGTTTGAAATACCTCCTCTATATGCAAACTTAGTAATTATTAACATGTCATTGTCATCATCTTCTCATAAAGCATGGATGTGCAAATGATTTCCTCCTAGGTTGCTCCAGAGACTCTGACTTTAAACTGTGTCACAAAAGGAAGTACTAGGGCTTCTGACCACTCACATTAAAGAAGGCACCCATTTTCCTCCGAGGAAGGGAGTAAAATAAAGCAGCTCTTCCTCCTGTCATTGTTATGCAGGCAGAGCCAACAAGGAACAGCTTCCACAGAGGGAAGCCTGAGCGCTCAGAAGCAGGAGCAAATAATGATTGTGCTCTACCTGCTGCAGAGTGAGGGGAAAATTGTTTCATAGCATTTTGATTAAAAAGATATTCTGCTTGAAGGCAACTTATATGTAGACATTTATTTTAGCCTTTGCTTATATTTGTTCAAACTAATCTCCCATGATACCTCAATGATTAGAATACAAAGTGGGGAAATCTATGGATTGGACCAGTGATATTCTGGGAACCTAAAGTATACCATGCACATTAAAACTCTGATAATTGATTTTCAGTTATCAGAGATATCCTAAATGATTACCAGGTCAATAAGATCAATAGTGATAGAAGTATTAGAGGTAGTGGTGATAATGGTAGCTATAAAATTAGTACTAGTAACTACTAGTAGTAGTAGTAGTAGTAGCAGCTAACATCCATGGGGTAGCAGATACTTAAGTTGTACCAGGCACTAAATTGAGTATTTTACGTGAATAATTTCATTTATTTTTTATACTATCTCTATTGTATAGATACCGCCATGCCCATTTTACAGATATGGTACATGAATCTTAAAGGTGTTACAAACTTTTCCAAGATTGCACAGCTAGTAAGACATGTAACCAATATCTAAACTTTCAAATGGGGTAGAGAAGATTTTCTCATTGCAAAGGGGGAAGGACAGTGGATCAGGACGAGTGAGGCAAAAAGTGTAACCAATTCACCAAGTTCAAAAGGTACTAAAAAAATACCGCTTGAGTCAATTCTGAGAGAATAAAAATGAATTGGGTGACTTTCCCTCACCTAAGTTTAGGTATGCACTGTTCGTGGTGTGCACAGGCTGGAGACAGCTAAAAAGAGTCAATATAAAGCAGATTAAAAGCTAAGCAACCTAGCAGTCACTTGTACAGGAAAAATACCAATGTATGGGAGAAAGACAAGGGTTAACACTTGGACTATTAAATGAGAGTACTGATTGGTCCAAAACAGAGATTATTCTCTTAGTAACAAATTACTTAATAGATATTTGTAGGAAACTTCCCAGATTATAGCAATTCACCATTGTTTCTTAGCAGCTTCCTTCATCCTCTTGGGTGAGTCCCTTTTGCCATATTGTGTATAAATCCCCACACCCAAGCTCCAGACACAATTTATGGGTTCACCCCAGATGAAAATTAAATCTCTAACTAGACATTTGGAGTTGGGGCTATGAGATATTTATCACAGTTTGGTTACTTGCCGACAGCAAAAACTCAGATGGTCTATTTGGGATTTTATTTCTTGTGGACTGAATATTAGAGAGTCAGGCTGAAGACTGGGAAGCAAATGGGTTATTGCATGAAGAGAAGCATAGTAAGAGTTGGAGAAAATTCCATATGATTTCTAGTTTCTATTTTCTATCCTGTCTACATTCCTGGCCCTAAATTTTATACTTTAATAATAATGAATTTTTTAAAAGTAGCCAATTTTAGTTTCTATAACTTGAAAACAAAAACTCGATTTAACACAACTGATTAAACCACAAGGTATCTTTTAATTTGTTATTATTATTATTTTGAGGAATAAGCTAAGGCTTTCCAAAAATACTTTCTCATTCTTCATAAGAGTGTAAGGTAGAGAACCCTGCCAAGTCTTATAATAGGCAGACATCTGGACTAGGTAAATTTTAAATAACTATGGAAGATTATATTCCGGAGCTTCATCAGATTAGTTTTATTCTGTTCAGCGTGCTACTTTACAAAAATGTAGAATGTGCTATATTTCATATTATTAAATGTCTTACATCTTCTTACTTTACTGAATATGAATACATTATGAATGTGCAATTTTAAAATTCAACTAAGAAGAAGAAAGAGCAGTTGACACAATCTATCACCTTACCCAAGTATAAAATTTGGTTTTAATTACACTAATTAGGAAATAGACTCTAAAAACTGTGCATAATTTTTAACAGGCTAGCAACATAACATTTGATGTTTCATAATCAGTTACAGAGCTGTGAAATTCCCCATTGGTACCATTGCTAATTTATAAGCCTCATACTTATAAACTTATGTTATCTTTTTTAAAAAAAGAAAACACACACACACACATACACACACACACACACGATTGGCTTCCTTTGTATAATACATAGAGATTGGAGGATGAGTGCCCAACACAGACTCTGCCTGGTTGTAGTCACTCTATAATGCAGTAGAGTCCTGAAAACAGTCACCTGCTATTTGAGAATAATGTCATCTATGCTGTCAGTGTTTTTATTGATACATAATATTTTACATATTTATGGGGTACATGTGAGTGTTAAAGTCATAGAATGTGTAATGATCAAGTCAGGGCATTTGGAGTATCCGTCACTTTGAGTACCTATTATTTCTATATGTTGGAATCATTTCGAGTCCTGTCTTCTAGTTGTTTTGATATATACAAAATATTGTTGCTAAGCCTTAGTGTCCTATTCTTCTATCAAACATTAGAAGTTATTTCTTGTATCTTACTGTATGCTTGTACCCATTAACCAGCTTCTCCTTATCACACCCCTCACAACTACCCACCCTTACCAGTCTCTGGTATCTACTGTTCTATTCTCTAAGTCCGTGAGATCACTTATTTTAGCTCCCAAATATGAGCGAGAGCATGTGGTATTTGTCTTTCAGTGTGACTGATATTTACTTAAATCCAGTAGTATTATTAGTCTTTATTATGCCACCATGTGAGACTTTGATTCTGATCAACCATGCTTTTTGTTGAAACCATCACGTCACTATTGATGGAAATATGACCAATAAAGGTATCTAAATAATTAAAATTAAAACAGTACAAATTAAACAAATATCTATTTATTTATCCATTATGTCAAAATGACAGCTAATATCCATAGCTATATCTCTACAGGATATTTATTTCAGCTGATTTTGATGGTATCTGTAAGATGGACTGAAAACTATGTAGGTTATCAGACACACACTGGAATTCACCTCAGGGCAGAGGTTCTCAATCGACTAGAGAGTCAATTTTGTCCCCCAGGGAACATTTGGCAGCTCTTTCAAGACACATTTTGTTCTTGTAACCAGGGTGGAGGAATGCAACTGGCATATAGGGATGCTGCTGAGCATCATGCATGGCACAGGATAGTCCCAAACAACAAAGACCTCTTCTGCCTTAAAACCTCAACAATTCTGAGGTTGCAGAAATTCTGCTATAGGGGCACTTTATACACCCTAAATAGGTAGTTTCTGTTGTTTTGTCTGATGACTAAGATGCACGGTCCTTATCTTGCAACAGCTTACTGGAAAACACAAATAAGAAACTGCATGGTGGTTTTAAATATCAGCAACTTGGAGACACAAGGCCATTCTAAATTAAATATATTATTTTTTGACCAAGTTGCTTCTCTCACGGTCAGGTCTTTGTAATACATCCTAGAATGAAAAGCAGCAGGATTTTTTTTTCTTAAAATTTAATGATAACTATTGAAATAAAGTGAGAACAGTTAGCATTAATCTATAAATTATGTAATGGTTTTAACAGAATGTCATAGATTTGTCTCGAGGTACTTAACAGACTTTTGTTAATTAGATACTATGAGATCTCTTAGATGTAAGAAAAAAAGAGAGTTGTACTCCAATTTCGCATATGGAAATTATGTGTCTCATGTGAGTAAATAGCCAGGACACTGAACTACTTCTGCAAATGGAGTAATTTAATTGTGTAACACTCGAAGTGTCATGGCCCCATGCAAGGAAGCACAATTTTCATTTGAGTCCTCGAGAAAAAACTGACTCTGCCCATTAAAGGGTGAAACTATAAAGCTTCCCAGGAGACAATGTGGCAGAAAATGCTGATTGCGATGGAAAAGGTGACATAGGGAGACAAATATTTCAGAACACAACATAGCTGCAGCACAGTGAGGCTCTTCCTGGCTTTTCAAGTAAAATGAGAAACTAGCATTTGACAAAGAACATTGGAAGGAAGCAAAGTTTCCATGGTAATCAAAAGGTAATGACTATATTTAAAGGAAACTTTATGCTGATATTGGTCACTTCCTTGTTTATGTACACCACCTGGAAATAATTTTCAGCCTCTGCTAAAGCTCAGAAAATGCAAGAAAAGAATACCATAGAATACAGAGGGAAAAGATATAAGCAAGTCTAAAAAAAAAGACGAATGGGCCAATAACAGACACAGTTATTCTCCTTATCCCCATGAGCATTGTTCTGATTCAAATTTTTGTCATCTCTTACCAAAATTTATGAACAATATGGCCCTAAATTGTCTGTCACTTTTCAGGATCACCTCCTCCCCTCCACCTCTCTCTCTTTTACTCTCTCTCTCTCAAACACACATAGACACAAACACACACACACACATACACACAAACACTCAAAATTTTATATTGAATGCAATTACGGAAAGATAGCAAAAAGAACCAAAAATTAATAACAGTTCCTATAAATTCACCATCCTAATAAAGTATGCATGTTCCTATTCTTCCAATTCCTTTTAATGTACCTATTTAACAATATGGATATAATTTCTTTTTTTTTTTTTTTTTGAGGTGGAGTCTCGCTCTGTCGCCCAGGCTGGAGTGCAGTGGCGCGATCTCGGCTCGCTGCAAGCTCTGCCTCCTGGGTTCACGCCATTCTCCTGCCTCAGCCTCTCGAGTAGCTGGGACTACAGGCGCCCGCCACCACACCCAGCTAATTTTTGTATTTTTGGTAGAGATGGGGTTTCACCATGGTTGGATATAATTTTTATTTCTAATTTATTTAATTCTAGTTTTATTAGAACTGTATTCTCTTATCATATAATAATATTTCTATTGGCTTTATGATCTCCATTATTATAGTTTTCATAGCTATATAATTTTCAGTACAATTAAATCTATCACAAATTAACTACTCTAACCAATGTTCCAAGGAAATCTTGCTAATCGCATTTTCCCTTCATTTTTTTAGGTGAAGATGTTCATTATAGTGTTACTTATTCTAGACCATTAGGATGTTTCTGAAAGTTCTCCAGTAGAACATCAGGATTGCTAGTCAACGTATGCAACTTATTATTTTCCTAGCTTCATAAACATAATCAAATTGCTCTCAAGAAGATGCTGTAGTGGTTAAGACAGTATACCTGTGATACATGAGGATACGTTTTAGAATGTCTTCATGTGCCCTTAGAGTTTCCTTTATTGCTAATTTCATTAATAAAAATGATGCATTTTCACCTTGTGAAACTGGAGGGTTTTTGTTGTTGTTGTTGTTCTTTTTTTTTAACTTTTAACTAAGTTCAGGGGTACATGTCAGGTTTGTTATATACGTAAACTCTGTTTCACAATGGTTTGATGTACAGATTATTTTGTTCACCCAGGTAATAAGCATCATACCTAACAGGTAGTTTTTTTATCCTCTCCCTCTTCTCACATTTTACCCTCATGGAGGACACGGTGTCTGTTGTTTTCTTCTTTGTGTCCATTAGTTCCCACTTATAAATAAGAACATGTGGTATTTGGTTTTCTGTTTCTGCATTACTTTACTTAGGATAATGACCTCCAGCTCCATCCAGGTTGCTGCAAATGACATGATCTTGTTGTTTTGTTATGGCTGCACAGTATTCCACAGTGTGTATGTACCACATTCTCTTTATCCAGTCTACCATTGATGGGCATCTAGGTTAATTCCATGTCTTTGCTATTGTGAATAGTGTTGCAATGAACATGTGAGTGCATGCATTATTATGGTAGAACAATTTATATTACTTTGGGTATATATATCCAATGATGAAATTGCTGAGTTGAGTGGTAATTCTGCTTTGAGTTCTTTGAGAAATTGCCAGACTGCTTTCCACAATGGCAAAATTAATTTACATTCCCATCAGCAGTGTATAAATGTTCCCTTTTCTCTGCAACCTCACCAGCATCTGTTATTTTCTGACTACTTAATAGTAGCCATTCTGACTGGTGTGAGATGGTATCTCATTGTGGTTTTGATTTCCGTTTCTCTAATGATTAGTGATGTTGAGCATTTTCTCATATGCTTGTTGGCCATGTATATCTCTTCTTTTAAAAAGTGTCTGCTCTTGTCCTTTTCTTTCTTTTTAATGGGGTTGTTTGTTTATTTCTGGTAAATTTGTTTAAGTTCCTTATAGATTCTGGATATTAGGCCTTTGTCATATACATAGTTTGCAAATATATTCTCCCATTTTGTAGGTTGTCTGTCTACTGTGTTGATAGTTTCTTTTGTTTTGCAGAAGCTCTTTAGTTTTAGTCCCATTTGTCAATTTTTATTTTTGTTGCACTTGATGTTTGCATCTTAATCATGAAATCTTTGCCAGGTCCTATGTCCAGAATGGTATTACCTAGGTTATATTCCTGGGTTTTTATAGTTTTAGGATTTACATTTACATCTTTAATTTATCTTGAGTTGATGTTTGTATATGGTGTAAGGAAGTAAGGAATGGGTCCAGTTTCAATCTTCAGCATATGGCTAGCCAGTTATCCCAGCACTATTTACTGACTAACGAGCCCTTTTCTCTTTGCTTGTATTTGTTGGCTTTGTCAAAGATCAGATGGGTGTGGGTATGCAGCTTTATATCTAGACTCTCTATTCCTTTTTCATTGGTCTATATCATCTATGCAATATCATTAAAATGGTTATACTGCTCAAGGCAATCTACAGATTCAATGTATTTCTTTAAAGCTACCGATGTCATTTTTCACTGAACTAGAAAAAACTATTCTAAAGTTCCTATGGGATCAAAAAAGAGCCCAAATAACCAAAACAATCCTAAGCAAAAAGAACAAAGCTGGTAGCATCACATTCCCTTACTTCAAACTATACTGGCCTTCAAACTATAAGGCTTCGGTAACTAGAACTGCATGGTACTGGCACAAAAACAGACATATAGACCAATGAAGCAGAATAGAAAACCCAGAAATAAAGGCATACTTCTATAGCGATCTGATCTTCGACAAAGTCAACACAACTAAGCAAAGCAGAAAGGACTCTCTATTTAATAAATGTTGGAGATAGCTGGCTAGCCATATGCAGAATAAAACTGGACCCCTACTTTTTGCCATATATAAAAATTAACTGAAGACGTATTAAATATTTAAATATAAGACATCGAGATATAAGAATCTTGGACAAAAATCCAGGAAACACTATTCTGGACATTGGCCTTTGGAAAGAATTTATGACTAAGTCCTCAAAAGCAATTGCAACAAAAACAAAAATTGAAAAGTGGGACCTAATTATACTAAAAAGCTTCTGCACAGCAAAAGAAACTATCAGATTGGGCGCAGTGGCTCACCCCTGTAATCCCAACACTTTGGGAGGCTGAGGCAGGTGGATCACTTGACGCCAGGAGTTGGCGATTAGCCTCGCCAAAGTGGTGAAACCCCTTATCTACAAAAAATACAAACATTAGCGAGGCATAGATGTACACACCTGTAATCCTAGCTACTTGAGAGGCTGAGGCATGAGAATCGCTTGAATCCGGGAGGTGGAGGTTACAGTAACCTAGATCGCACCACTGCACTCCAGCCTGGGCAATAGAGTAAAACTATGTCTCAAAAAACAAACAAACAAAAACAACAAAAAAGAGAAACTATCAGCAAAGTAAACAGACAACCTACAGAATGGGAGAAAATATTCATAAACTATGCATCTGACAAAGGCCTAATTTCCAGAATCTATAAGGAACTTAAACAATTGAACAAGAAAATACAAACAACCCATTAAAAAAATGGCCAAAAGACATGAACAGACACTTCTCTAAAGAAGACATACAAGTTTCAATAAACATGAAAAAATGTTCCACGCCAATAATCAGATAAAAGCAAATGAAAACCACTATCAGATACCATATCACAACAGTCAGAAGGACTGTTATTCAAAAGTCAAAAAACAACAGTTGCTAGCAAGGCTGCAGAGAAAAGGGAATACCTATACACTGTCAGTAGGAATGTAAATTAGTTCAGCCAAGCAGCATGGAGATTTCTCAAATAACTTAAAACAGAACTACTGTCCATCTCAGTAATCTCATTATTGGGTATATGTACAAATGAAAACACATTTTTCTACCAATAAGACACATGTACTTGAATGTTCTTTGTAGTGCTATTCACAATAACAAAGACATTGAATAAATCTAGTTGCCCATCAACGGTGGATTGGAGAGACAATGTGGTACATATACATCATAGAATACTATGCAGTCATAAAAACGAAAATATCAGATTCTTTGCCCCAAAAGGATGGAGGTGAAGACCCGTTTCCTAATTAATTAATGCCAGAAGATACTGCATAGTCTCACTTACAAGTGTGAGCTAAACATTTGGTACTCATGGACATAAAGATGTGAATGATAGAAACTGAGGACTACTGAAGGTAGAAGGGAGAGAGTGAGGCAAGGATTAAAAACTGTTGGATTCTATGCTCACTTCCTGGGTGGTGGGATCATTTGTACCCCAAACCTCAGCATCATGCAATATACCCAAGTAATAAACCTGTACATGTACCCACTGAATCTAAAATAAAAGATGGAAAAAAGAAAATATACAACTCATCTTCCATGTCTTACATCTTCAATCCCTTTTCCTTGCCTCTCTTCCTATTCTTTTGTTGTTTGCCACTTCTGTTTTCTTCTCTTTCTTTTCTCCCTCTCCTCTCCTCCCCCTCCCTCTCCTCTCTTTCTCTTTCTCTGTTTCTTTCTTTCTTTCTTTCTTTCTTTCTTTCTTTCTTTCTTTCTTTCTTTCTTTCCTTCCTTCCTTCCTTCCTTCCTTCCTTTCTTTCTTTCTTTTTTCTTTCTTTCTCTTTCTTTCTTTTTTCTTTCTTTCTCTTTCTTTTTTCTTTCTTTCTCTTTCTTTCTTTTCTCTCTTTCTCTTTCTCTTTTTCTCCTTTCTTGCTTTCATCCTTCTTTTTTTCAGCAGTGTCAATAAATTTCCTTTTAAATTTTTATTCTTATTATTGCTGTACAAACACCTTACATGAAATCTACCCTCTTAAATTTTTAAGTGTACTAATACAGTATTCTGAACTATAGGCAAAATGTTGTTTAGTAGATCTCTAGAACTTATTCATCATCCTTAGCTGAAACTTTATACTTACTGATTACTGATTCCACATTTGCTCCTCCCCCATAATCTCTGACAATCACAATTCCATTCTCTAAGACTAAGGGTTTCACTGTTTTAGATATGTTGCGTAAGTGAAATCATGTGGTATTTTCCTTCTGTGACTGACTTAATTCACTTAGCATAATATCCACAAGATCCATCTACATTGTCACATAAATGAGAATTTCTTTCTTTTTAAAGGCTGAAAAAAATATTCCATTGTATGTAAATATCACATTTTCTTTATCCACTCCTCCATCGATGCACATGTAGGGAAAAAAAACCTACATTAGTTAAAACAGTATGGTACTAGCCTGTATATATACATCGTTTTCTTAAATTGCATTTGACCTTTATTTCTCTTCTCTTTCCAACCATCATGCTATATGACAATTGATTATTAATGACCTTAAGAAAGATTTCCTATTGTATAATATCTGTCCCAAAACATACACTTCTTCAATTATAAGATTCCCTGAAACTGACATCTTTTTTTATAGTTTAGATGTGGAATATATTCTAGGTATTATTTTTTAAACCAAATAACTGAATAAGGTAAAAGAGAAAAGAGAGCTAATATGTCACCGAAGAGAATAATGGATGCGCAATTACTAATTCTAAGTGTTTCAAATATAATAAAGAAAAGTTGCCTCTTGACAATGTAATGATGCAGAGTAGAGTAAGTTTGGAAAATTATCATTTGAAAATGGAAAATTAGTGTTTTACAAAAAATATTGTATGATCCTGATTATTATTCAGCTCTAAGATGAATTCACAAAGTCTTTATTAGCCTGGGATTTCCAAAAGTATACATTTTGTCAATCTTCAAAGAATTTTAGTTTTTACACTGATATCTGTCAGTACCTGGAACAGGACATAAAAGCTTCTTTGGTATTTAGTTTATGATTTTAGCTCTGCTTCCCTCTCATTTCTTTTAAAAATTTTATTAAGGGAGAAAACAGCTATTCTAAATCCTTTAAAATATACATCGTTCAAAGAGTCTATAAGAATTCATTTGAAAATTTTGGTAGAAAGGCCACAATCTTTTTGCCACTTTTAAGAATGCTAGTGATAGGTGAGTAGTGAATTGTACTTAGATTCACCCAAAGCAAAGACCAAGTAAAATGTTTTCATGTTAGACTGTGATAGGGAAGTGATTGATACTTCTGGACACACTCTGATAAGATAAGCACAGGGTCCTCTGGTGCCACATATGAGCTGGGTATACTAAGATTAAATGTTTAAGACTGTAGGAACTGGAGTAGCTATACAGCTGTCATGTCCCTAAGGTCCAGATAGAGTGACCATCTTGCCCCCACTTTCTTGGGCCTGTTCTAGTTTAGCACTGAATGTTCCATGTCCTACAAATACCCTCAGTTCTGGGTAAATCAAGACAGTTGGCTATATTATCTCCACACCAGATATAAAGTAAAGCATCATGTAGACTTGTAAAATGATGTGAAAATCAAAAGATTCCCTTATATGTACTCTAATTTATATCTTGAATAAACAGCTTATATGAACATGCTTTGCAACTCTTATAATAATACAGTGTCACACAGGTTATCCTCTCAGTTTTATGAATGAGAGAATATTGATGCTTATGGCCAAGGTGCCACAGTCTGTAAGGAGATCCAGATCTTAAACTTAAGAACCCTGGACCCCACGAAAAAAAAAAAACATATCTGTCTTCTTTGACAAGATATGTGGAAGTACAAGGGAGACCAAGTCAACCGTATGAGCTCCCTTTGTGAGAAAAAAGAAACAAACACACAAGCAAACAAAAAAACTGGCATTTTAGGTCTGGAACTTAAATGGAACATTCTGGACATCTTGAAGTTTAAGGTTTCATTCCCTGATGATAAGGATGGGGAACAAGTGAGAGGTTTTAATCAGTAACACCACAAGCCCAATTACTCTTATTGTCCAAGCCTAAAATTTGAAGGAGAATAAAGACTCTCTAATACCAAAGATACCTGCTCATCCTGGGAGAGGCTATGAACATGACTGAGGAATAATGCATTGTGGAAAAGACAGAGAGAAACGAAAGTTTAGAAGGAAAAAAAAATATTGCATGATGGTTAAAAGCACAAAAATAACAAACAGAAATAGGTTCAAGTTCCTCTTAGGCCACTCAGTAAGTATGTGATATTGTGAATATTTCTTGAATCATTTGAGTTGAGATGTTTTTATTTTTGTATATATTCAAATTTGAAATTATGCATAATAATAATACCTGAGATGGCTTCTCTGAGGATTTATTAAAATGATTATAAAATATTTAGCTGAATGCATGGCCTTTGGTAGTGCTCAAGAATATTGAACAGTGGTTCTTCTTGTTGTGTTAAGATAGATGGAAAAGTTTTGCTTAAAATTCAATATAAACATATATGTATAAATGTGTGTATAGAAGTACATATAAAAATTTTAAAGACTATAGAAATGTTATAATTTTTTATGGGTGGACTATGCATTTTCTTTGTCTTTGAGAAAGAGCGAGAGTCATAGAAGCAAATGAACATTTCTTTTGAAGAAACAATATTTTTTAAACAGTCGAACACTCTAAACGATAGGAGATAGGAGGCTTGTGTTTGTGACGAAGCTTGTGTGCTTCAGTGGTATTTTCTTTTGGAGGTAGTTCGTAAATACTTAGTCTGAGTTCAATTAATATTTATATATTTATTTTAACTGAGATTTATCTATTTATTCAGCTTTAGGCAAAGTCAAGCAAAAAGGTGGTGTGATTTTTGACGGTTATCTGTTCATACGGCCCAAAGGGACCTAATTTGCTTGGTCAACCGTCGGATTTCAATGATTGCTGCTCCTGCTTCCCATTTGGCCATGCCCAAGTCAATTTCCCTTTGGAATCTCAATTTCCTGTCCTATAAACATGTAAGGATTAGATTAAATGGGTTTCACAGACTCAGCTATGCCACTTTGTTTTGTTTTTATATTTTGTGTAGCAACACATTTCAAATTTTCTCATTTATGCCATCCAAGAGAGGAGCAGGGAA